>NC_000001.11:247699273-247850788 GCF_000001405.40 Homo sapiens
CTTAGAAAAAAGAATAGACCAATTTCTTAAAAATTGTAAACTACCTAAACTCAACGAAGATGAAAGAGGTAATATGAATATTCCCATAACCACTAAGGAAATTTAATTTATAAATTAAAGCCTCTGACAGAGACATTTTCAGTCCAAAATGGTTCACTAAAGAATTGACCAAACTTTTAAAGAAAATATTAATGTGGATTTTATACAATATCTTATGAGGTTAATTTTTGTTTTGTTTTGTTTTGTTTTTGAGACAGAGTTCGCTCAGTAGCCCAGGCTGGAGGGCAATGGCACGATCTCAGCTCACTGCAACCTCCACCTCCCGGGTTCAAGCGATTCTCCCATCTCAACCTCCTGAGTAGCTGGAATTACAGGAACCTGCAATCCTGCCTGGCTAATTTTTGTATTTTTAGTAGATACGGGGTTTCACCATATTGGCCAGGCTGGTGTTGAACCCCTGACGTCAATTAATACAACAAAGAAAATATAAAAACAGTACACACAAAAAAAATTACACTATTTCTTATGACCAGTGACTCTTATGAGCCTAGATATAAAATCTTTAACAAAATATGAAAACAAATCTAACAATGTATAAAAAGTATGGGATAACACAACAAAGGACATTTACTCCAGGTATGCAAGCTTAGTTCAATATTTGAAAATTAATAGAATCAACTATGTTAACAGGGAAAAGATGCAGCAAAAGCATTTGTCGAAATTCAGCTCTTATTTATAATCATTTTATTTAAAATTTTCAGTAAGTCAAAAATAGACAAATTATCTTAACCTGCTGAAGACCATCTACAAAAAATCTACAGGTAACATCAGACTTAATAAAGACTAAATGCTTTTCCAAATAGTAGGGAACAAGGTAAGAATGTCCATTTTCATCTTTCTTACTCAATAAAAAGGTACTGGAAGTTCTAGCTTCTATAATAAGAGAAGGAAAAATAATAAAAGGTATAGAGATCGGAAAAGAAGAAAGAAAACAATCTCTAGTTGCAGATGACATTTTGTCTATGTAGAAATTCCCAAAGAATCTGCAAAAAAAAGATAAACATCCAATTTTAAAAGGATCATAAGACATGGATAGATATTTCACTAGAGAGGATATACACATGGCAAATAAACACATGAAAATATGTTCAAAATGACTAGCCATTAAATAAATGTAAATTTAAACTGTCACGGGCTATCAGAATGACTATTTTTTTTTTTAAATCAGGATAAAGAAAAACTGGATTGCTTATGCATTGCTAGTGGGAATGTAAAATGGTACGGTGCCTCTGGAAAACAGGTTCATCAGGTTCTTATAAAACTCAACATGCAATTATTATACAATCCGACACTTCTACTCTTGGGTGTTAATCCCACAGGAATGAAGATACATATATATACATATATATTTCATATATGCATATATGTATATACATATATATGCAATATGTCCCATATATCTATATATACAATATGTCCCATATATCTATATATACATATATGTCCCATATAGCTATATATACATATATGCCATATATGTGCATACATATATGTATACACGTGCATACATAAATGTCCCATACATGTATACATGTATACACATACATGCCCCAGATAGGTATATGTGCATACATGTCCCATATATGTATATGTACATATATGTATGCACATATATGCCATATATGTATGCACATATATGCCATAGATGTATATATGTATATATACACATATGTATATATGGGTATATAAACATATATGTCATATGTATATATACACATATATGTCATGTATATATACACATATATGTCATATGTATATATACACATATATGTCATTTGTATATATACACATATATGTCATTTGTATATATACACATATATGTCATTTGTATATATACACATATATGTCATTTGTATATATACACATATATATTACAAACTTGTACATGAAAGCTCGTAGATAGAAGCTTTCTTCATAATTTTCAAAAAGTGAAAGCATCCCAGAAGTCCTTCAATAGGTGAATGGTTAAATGAACTGTGAAACATACATAGCATCGTATGCTACTTGAAATAAAAAGAAGTAAACTATTGATATACATAACAATTTTGATAATCTCAAAGAAACCATGCTGAGTAATAAAAGGTAATACTATAATATTACAAGTTGTATGATCCACTTATAAAACATTGTTGAGATAATAAAATGTTAGGAAAGGAAACAGATTGGTGGTTGCCAGCGATAAAGGATAAGCAGTGGAAAGGAAGTGGTTGCTATAAAAGGGCAACATAAGAGGTCCTTTTGGTGATGGAACTGTTTATTATCTTTGCTACAGTGGTGGATAAACCTTCACATGTGATAAAATTATACAGAAATAAATTCACACACACAAATAAGTGAAAGTAAAACTGGGGAAATTGGAATAAGATTGTGAATTTTATCAATGTCAATTGCTGTTTGTGATATTGTACTAAAGTTTTGCAAAATGTTACCATTGTGAGAAACTAGTAAACTGTACCAAGAACCTCTTAGTATTATTTCTTAAAACTACATGTGAAACTAAAATGACCTTATAATAACAAATTTTAATGGAAAAGTATACTTGCATAAATTGAAATGTAATCTATGTTCTAAGTTAGAAAGTCTCATGAAATGGTCAGTTCTAAAGTTATTTTTATACATTTAATACAAAAGCAATGAAAACTGCAAGCTTTTTGGTCAAGCTAGACACATGATCCTAAATCATGAAAAAGTAAATACGTAATATCAACTAGAAAAATACTGAGCAGAAATAGTTAGGAGGCAGGATTTGCTGTATTAAATTTTAAAATTACTGCTGAGAGTATAATAGAATAATGAGGCATTGGAGCCTGTTTGAAAGGAGAGAAGAAGGAAAGAGACCAGGAAGTGAGGGGAGGGAGATAGAAGACAAACCTAGAAATAGGTCCTACTACATATAGAAATTTAACATATGATAAAATCACTATTGCAAATTACTAGGGCAAAGATAGTTTTTTAAATATATGGAGTTAGAACAACTGTATAGTTATTTGCCAGAATCAAAATTAGATTCATTCCTCATGTTAACCACAGGAAAAAAAATGGTTCAGAGATCTAAATGTAAAACTGGAAATGTGGCAATTACAAATACTAGGAAAAAATGGATTTTTTTTCTGTAATCTCAGAGTAGGGAATGGCCTTCTAACCAAGACTTAAAATCTATGTGCAATAGAAATATAATCTGTTTGACTACATAAAATTAAAGTAAAATACAGGGGAAAACACCATGAGCAGTTAAAAATAATGGAGAAAAAATATGTGTGGCATACATTATAGGTGAAAGGCTAACATCCTTAATATATAAAAAGATTAAACATTGACTAAAGATTTTTAAAATCTATGGAAAATTGCAAAAGATATTAGAGCAATTCATATAGAGATATGAAAATCGTTATTAGATATATTTTTAATGGTGAATTTCACAATAATAAGATAAATGCAAATTAAAACAACCTTAAGATACCACTTCTCATGAAACTGGCAAAAATGCAAAACCTTGACAGGGCATTCTGTTGATGGGAATGTGGAGAAACAGGCATTCTCACATATTATTCATGATAATACAAATGATGCAACCCCATTTTGGAAATTTGGGTTATATCTAACAAAACTAACTAAACATCGACCCAATAATTTGCTGATAACCAGAAAATAGATCTCTGACAGTACAAAAAAGATGTAGAAAATTATTCATCATAGCACTATTTATAATTGCTAAATATTGCAAAATAACTTCAATATTCAGGCATAGAAAATTGATTGAATAAGCTTTTGTACATCTACACAATGGAAGCATTATGCAAATGTAAGAAAAGAATGCGGTAGATCTGTATATAGCGTTTCAAAGAAATATTGCTAAGTGAAAAAAGCTAACTACTAAAAAATATAGAGTACAACCTCTTGTATAGAAAGAAAAGGAAAATAGAGAAAGCATATCTGCTAGCCTACAAATGAAAACACAGAAAATAAAAGTAAAAAACATTTTAGTGTATTAGCTACAATAGGTGAAAAGTGGGAAGAAGTAAAAGGTATAGGGCAGGGAATATCCCTTCTTGCATGTATCTTCTTGTGCATTTTTGACTTGTGAAGCATGTTAATATTCTTCATATTCAAAACATAAAATCTATAACAATGAGAAACATGGAAGTCCTAAAACTGAAAGAAAATGAAAGCAAATAAACTCAAGCATACTTGAAATGAATATCAGATACACACTGAAGGAGGAAAAAGAAGACAGAATAAAATAACAAAACCAGCTTAGTAATAATATAGTCCTTGATCATATGTAATGTTATGGGTGGGGTGAAATGTGGGAGAATTGCTAGCAAATCCTGAACTACTTTTAATAAATGTATTTGTTTATTTATCTAAGTTTTGTTTTAAATTCTGGGGTACATGTTCAGGTTTGTTACGTAGGTAAACTTGTGTCATGGGGGTTTGTTGCACAGATTATTTCATCACCCAGGTATTAAGCCTAGTAGCCATTAGTTATTTTTCTGGATTCTCTTCCTCCTCCCACCCTCCACCCATGATACGCCCCAGTATGTATTGTTCCCCTCTATGTGTCCATGTGTTCTCACCATTTAGCTCCCACTTAAAAGTGAGAACATGTGGAATTTGGTTTCTGTTCCTGGGTTAGTTTGCTAAGGATAATGGTCTCCAGCTCCATCCATGTTTCTGCAGACGACATGATCTCATTCTTTTTTACAGCTGCATAGTATTCCATGGTGTGTATGTACCACATTTTCTTTATCCGGTCTATTTGTGATGGACATTTAGGTTGATTCCATGTCATTGCTATTGTGAATAGTGTTGCAATGAACATACGTGTGCATGTGTCTTTATATATTGTAATGATTTATTTTCTTTTTGGTAGATAGTAATGGAATTGCTGTTTTGAATATAATGACTAAATATAATTTAATTTTACCCTCACCATTGTACAAAAATTATGTGTGCATAGATTTAATTTTTAGATTGATTGTTATATTCCTTCAGTGCTGTATTTGTTGTACAAAGGCAATTTATTATGGTTAAACCTATTTTTTTCAAACTTCTATTTTCCCTGATGGGGCATCTATTGTTTTTCCACTGCCAGTAATTTATTACTGGAAGATAATTCTGAATAATATGTATTTTATCTACAAATGTATCATCGTAAGTTATAGGCTAAAGAAAGAAGAAAGAAAAGTGAATCAGAATTCTAGTAGTCAAGTATATTTGCTTGAAAATTAATTATGCAAATTATGCTTAAGTGGGGTGTGTTTTTAAATCAGTATAGAAAGAAAAGACCTGAGTCAATGAAAGCATTCTGTTCATTTCGATACTCCTTCACTTAACATTAAGTTTTAGATACAATTCCATATCAAAATGATTCATTCACTTGAAAAGCTGAAGACTACATTCTTCTTTTCAGTACTGAGGTGAGTAGCAGAAGTAGAGAGGTGTTGAAGATAACTCTTGTTGAGATAGATAGTAGGTGCTGCTTTTGGAGGTTTTGGAAATTGAGGCCTAACCTATGGAAACAGGAAGGCTATTCATCCTCAGAGGGTAGCAATCTGATTTTTATTAGGAATTTTGATTTTTAGAAATCTCCAAGAATATGTTTAGGAATGCCATGGATCTGAAACTAATCCTCAGAATGAATAAATGAAGGGAACAGATCAGGTACGCAGTGTTTTTTATGAGTACTGTATTAGGGTTCTCTAGAGAGACAGAACTAATAGGATATATATTAACATATATATACATGTATGGAGAGTTTACTAAGTATTAACTTACGTGATCACAAAGTTCCACAATCGGGTGTCTGCAAGCTGAAGAGCACGGAGAACCAGTCCGAGTCCCAAAACTGAAGAACTTGGAGTCCTATGTTGGAGGGCAGGAAGCATCCAGCCCAGGAGAAAGATGTAGGCTGGGAGGCTAGATCTTTCCTTTTCATGTTTTTCTGCCTGCTTTATATTCCCTGGCAGCTGATTAGATTGTGTCCACTACATTAAGGGTGGATCTGCCGTCCCCAGCCCACTGACTCAAATGTTAATCTCTTTTGGCAACACCCTCACAGACACACCCAGGAGCAATACCTTGTATCCTTCAATCCAATCAAATTGTTGCTCAGTATTAACCATCACAAGTCCACCCTTTGTCAACTTGAACCCATACACATCTCCTGAAATCATACCTAATCTTCAAATAAAGACAATAATAAGGTCATAATTATGCCTAACATAATACAACTATCCCTCATACAACTGGAAACACACCAATCCCCAACTCAAATACTATTACATAAAGTTAACAATATTTAAATGCTGATATGAAGTCAATAAATTTTATGTCACATGATAAAGGAAAAAAGAAATAAAATACAGATATTTTCTCAATACAAGTGTATACATGCACAAACATGTTTTTAACAAAAGAAGGAAGACATACTCATGACAATTACAGTCCCCATTTCTGCAGCTGGTCATGTGGTCACAGTTGGTACTGATGACTACCTTCTTCTATTACCCATTCTGTATTCCCTTTGCCCTCAGCAAGCACCTCAACACATCGTGGTTATTTTCCTGATGGAGTGACCCAAACTTTCATTCCTGAAGGGTCTGGGCCATTTGTAGTCCTGCCTGGATTGGGCTGTTGTAGTTTCCCATTGACATTAATCACAGGGCATGGTAATACTAAGAGATGCCCTCATGGATCTCCTGGTTTTCATGCATACTCTTCTTCACCTCCGTTGTGGAGTAGTAGACTGATTTCATCTTGATAGCCTGGGCCAATCACCCCAGCCAACACGGTAACTTCCTTCTTAGCCTGTTGACTTAAAGATAGGAGGAGCCCAAAGTGTCCAAGTGGCAATCTTAACTTCCAGTTTAATAGGATCATTGTTGTGTCTCCTGGTGGCAGCATTCCTCCCTCTGGAACAAAGACCTCTAGACAAGAAGAACGTAATATTGTGGGAACAGGAAGCAAAAATTTTGCTACTGGATCACTAGGAGTGATGGTGGGTGGTGCCACTTCCATTTCCACCCACTGAATCCTGGATCCGTGAATCCTGGCTATGGGAGAAACAGTACCATATATTGGACGCTGATTCAGAGCATACATGGCCTTCTGAAGAACTTTGCCCCAGCCGTGCAAAGTACTGTCACCTAGTTGGCATTGCAATTGTGACTTGAAAAGGCCATTCCCCCATTCTATCAATCCAGCTGCTTCAGGATGATGGGGAACATGGTAAGACCAGTGAATTCCATGAACATGAGCCACTGCTGCACTTCTTCAGCCATAAAGTGAGTGCCTTGGTCAGAGGCAACGCTATGTGGAATACCATGACAGTGGATAATACATTCTATGAGTTGATGGAAGGTAGTCTTGGCAGAAGCCTTGCATGAAGGATAGGCAAACTCCCATCCAGAGTAAGCGTCTATTCCAGTGAGCACAAATCTCTGCCCTTTCCAAGATGGAAGAGGTCCAATATAATCAACCTGCCACTGGGTAGCTGGCTGATCACCCTGAGGAATGGTGCCATATCGAGGTCTCAGTGATGGTCTCTGCTGCTAGCAAGTTGGGCACTCAGCAGTGGCCGTAACAAGGTCAGCCTTGGTGAGTGGAAGTCCATGTTGCTGAGCCCATGTGTAACCTCCATCCCTGCCACCATGGCCACTTTGTCCATGGGCCAAAGACGTGGGCGATGACAGAGGTGGCTGGGGAAAGAGGCTGTGTGGTGTCCATGGAATGGGTCATTCTGTCCACTTTATTATTAAAATCTTCCTCTGCTGAGGTCAACCATTGCTGAGAACTTACATGGGGTACAAATATCTTCACAGTTTTTGTCCACTCAGAGAGGTCCACCCACATGCCTCCTCCCCAGATTTCTTTGTCACCAATTTTCCAATCATGCTTCTTCCAAGTCCCTGATCATCCAGCCATACCATTGGCTACAGCCCATGAATCAGTACATAATCACACATCTGGCCATTTCTCCTTCCATGCAAGGTGCACAACCAGGTGCACTGCTTGAAGTTCTGCCCACTGGGAAGATTTCCTTTCACCGCTGTCCTTCAGGGATGTCCTAGAAAGGAGCTGTAGTGCTGCAGCTGTCCACTTTCTGGTGGTGCCTACATATCATGCAGAACCATCGGTAAACCAGGCCCTAGTCCTCTCTTCCTCTGTCAGCTTATCATAGGGAACTCCTGATGAGGCCATCGGTGCAGGCTTTGGGGAGAGAAGGCAGGTGGCAGGAGTGGAGACTATGGGCATTTGAGCCATTTCCTCATGTAACTTGTGCCTTCAGGATCTGCTGGAGCCTGATCCCATATATACTACTTCCAGTTGATGATGGAATGCTGCTGTGCACAACCCACTTTATGGCTGGATGGGTCAGAAAGCACCCAGTTCATGATAGGCAGTTCAGGTCGCATGTTGACTTGATGACTTATAGTCAATTTTTCAGTTTCCACCAAAGCCCAGTAACAGGCCAAGAGCTGTCTCTCAAAAGGAGAGTAGTTATCTGCAGAAGATGGCAGGGCCTTGCTCCAAAATCCTAGAGGCGTCCACTGTGATTCACCTATGGAGGCCTGCCAAAGGCTCCCAAACAGCATCACTATCTGCCACTGACACCTCAAGCACTATTGGATCTGCTGGGTCATACGGCCCAAGTGGCAGAGCAGCTGGCACAGCAGCCTGGACCTGTTGCAGAGCCTTCTCCTGTTCTGGACCCCACTCAAAACTGGCAGCCTTTCAGGTCACTGGATAAATGGGCCACAGTAACCCACCCACATGAGGAATGTGTTGCCTCCAAAGTCCAAATAGGCTCACTAGGCGTTGTGCCTCTTTCTTGGTAGGAAGGGCCAAATGCAGCAAATTATCCTTCACCTTAGAAGGAATATCTCAACAGGCCCCATAACCACTGGAACCCTAGAAATTTTACTGAGGTAGAAGGTCCCTGAATTTTAGTCAGATTTATTTCCCATCCCATCCTTTGGCATGCAAATGTCTCACCAATAAGTCCAATGTGTTTGCTACTTCTTGCTCTTTTGATCCGTCAGCATAATGTCATCAATGTAGCCAATCAGTGTGATATCTTGTGGAAGCAAAAAGTGATCAAGATCTCTCTGAATAAGATTATAACACAAAGCTGGAGAGTTGATATATCCCTGAGGTAGGACAGTAAAGGTATATTTCTGGCCTTGCCAGCTGAAGGCAAATTTCTTCTGGTGTGCCTTATAGATAGGAATGGAGAAAAACGCATTTGCCAAGTCAATGGCTGCATGCCAAGTACCAGGAGATGTGTTAATTTGCTCAAGCAATAAAATTACATCTGGTACAGCAGCTGCAATTGGAGTCACCACTTGGTTAAGCTTAAAATAATCCACTGTCATTCTCCAAGATCCAAATGGGAGAGTTGAATGGGGATGTGGTGGGAATCACCACCCCTGCATCTTTCAAGTTCTTGATAGTGGCACTAATCTCCACAGTCCCTCAAGGGATGCAACATTGTTTTTGATTTACTATTTTTCTAGGTAGAGCAGCTCTAATTGCTTTCTTTTGGCCTTTTTCACCATAATAGCCCTCATCCTACCAGTCAGGGAGCCAATGTGAGGGTTCTGACAGCTGCTAAGTTCTGCTAAGTTCTGGCACTGGGGAAATGACCACAAGGTAAGTCTGGGGACCCACTGGACCCACTGTAAGTCAGACTGAGCTAAAATTCCATTAATTACCTGACCTCCCTAAGCCCCTACTTTAACTGGAGGTCCACAGTGATATTTTGGATCCCCTGGAATCAATGTCAGTTCAGAACCAGTGTCCAGTAGTCCCCACAATGTCTGATCATTTCCCTTTCCCCAATGTACAGTTACCCTGGTAAAAGGCCAGAGGTCTCCTTGAGGAAGGATGGGAGAAAGACTCACTGCATAAATTGTTGGTAATGTAGTGGGGTCCCTCCTCAAGGGGACCGAGCCTCCCCTTCAAGGTAGCTACGCCCACTTTGCCTTTTACAGTTGAGTGCTGCTGCTTGGCCCCTGACTCCTTGGGATCCAATTATTTTCATTGTATTTAAATTTTGTAGTTGAGTAACTGCAGTTCCCACAGTTAGATGTGACATACAGAGAAGAGCAATTACAGAGCTCTTCAAAGATGCAGGTGCTGTCCTCACAAATCTAATTCGCAAGGCATTGGTCAAGCGTATATCTTTTGGACCCTCCCAGCTGGGATGAGTAGGTCTAAAGTGACTAATCCACCCTACCATCCCAATCTCCCTAAGCCTTTGGATCTGTTCCTCTGCATTAAACCAACAGAGATCAGGCATTTCTAGCTCACTCACAGTGGGCCATATTTCAGCTAAACAAACAAATAAACTATTAGAACCTTTTTTAGCTCCCTGATCTGCAACATTAAAAGCAGGGTCCCTACTTAGTGGGCCCAAATCAATAAATTCAGCCTGATCCAACTTTATGTTCCTTCCACCATTATCCTATACCCTTAATATCCATTCCATGCCTGTTCTCCAAATTTCTGTTTATATAAATTACAGAACTCAAACAGTTCTTTTTGAGTGTAGCACACCTCCTCAAGGGTCACACTCTCAACCTCACCTCTAGGGGCCCACTGCGACTTTAGTCTAGTTATAGGTCTGGAAGTAAACAGAGGCATTGGGGGTGGCTCCTGAGGAGAATCAACATTATCTTGCCTGGCAACTGCATCAGGGGAGGCCATCACTATTGCCTCGGTCAGATGTTCAATGGCAGGAAGCATCCAGCACAGGAGAAAGATGTAGGCTGGGAGCCTAGGCCAATCTCTCCTTTTCACGTTTTTCTGCCTGCTTTATATTCCCTGGCAGCTGATTAGATTGTGCCCACCAGATTAAGGTTGGGTCTGCCTTTCCCAGTCCACTGACTCAAATGTTGATCTCTTTTGGCAATACCCTCACAGACACACCCAGGATCAATACTTTGTATCCTTCAATCCAATCAAGTTGACGCTCAGTATTAACCATCATAGGTACCTTAAGAGGTAGACTTTCGACATAGATACAACTTCTGAAAGTTAATATGCATCATTCTCACAATGAGATATCTTCCCCTATTTTCTTCAGACATATAGCTTTCTTGTTCTGTATTATACCACTTTACTTTTGAAACCAGAAGGGGTTTCAAATCATACAAACAAGCAAGGTCTGAAGAGTAGCTTCTTTTCTTTTTTTTTTTTTTGAGACAGAGTTTTCGCTCTTGTCGCCCAGGCTGGAGTGCAATGGCGCGATCTCGGCTCACTGCAACTTCCGCCTCCTGGGTTCAAGCGATTGTTCTGCCTCAGCCTCCCGAGTAACTGGGATTACAGGCGTGCGCCTCCACACCCGACTAATTTTGTATTTTTAGTAGAGACGGGGTTTCTCCATGTTGGTCAGGCTGGTCTCGAACTCCTGACCTCAGGTGATCTGCCCGCCTTGGCCTCCCGAAGTGCTAGGATTACAGGCGTAAGCCACTGCGCCCGGCCTGAAGAATAGCTTCTATTCAGCCCCTTAGGCATTTCTTTGAGAAGCAGACTACTTTGTCTACTTTGTACACATGTGAGTCAATATGAGTAAGACAAACAGAATATCCCTGTAGCCTATGTTAGCCTGCTGGAGCCCCCATTTTCCACAGCCATACAATAATGAGGAAAGGGAGGAGAAGGGACCTATCATGTGTTGATGGTTGAAAAGGAAA
This sequence comes from Homo sapiens, assembly GCF_000001405.40. Lineage (NCBI taxonomy): Eukaryota > Metazoa > Chordata > Mammalia > Primates > Hominidae > Homo > Homo sapiens. Next base: position 247,711,033 of record NC_000001.11, read on the forward strand.
GTATTTTGCTTTCTGTGGAATGCAGTACTTTAGAGGAAAATCAGATAGTTATTACAATTATTGTTTCCTATGGTTATGTTTTCCCTGAAACCACTGGATGTTCTATACTTGCTGACTTGCCAATGGAATCTTTAGTATTTTTCCTTTTCTATGATCAATGTTGTTATGCAAGAAACTTCTGTTGCTTTGTTCAAACTCTCCTGCAGTCCCGTTTATCTACTTTTCATCCTCCACTTTTTGGATTGCTTTGTTCACTATCCTTGTGAAACAAATGTGGCACCTTGTAATGATCAAGTTCTAATTCCATATCTGTCTGTTTGACTATACCTTATCAAAAAATACTATGCTGCAATAACTGCACACACTCTAATTTCAGTTACATGTTTTAATTCATTTAACCTTTGCCTATTTCTCTTCCCTCGTGTTCCACAAATGTAGTTCTCAATATTTTATACTAAGACAATTTTGCTAATCTTTAAAAAGAAACAAGAATTTAGAGCTGATATACCAAAGCACTCTTTTTATTGCAGATGTCTCTAATTTATAAACCAAAGTCCAGAGCAAACCTAATTCAATGTATAATTATTTTTTGCTTAAAAATCCCATTTGCTTATGTCAAAAACTCCCATTTTTATCATACATGATAATGTATAGAAAATACAGTATTGCTTGTTTTGTTTGTTTGTTTTTTCTCTGTGTACCAAGAAAGATTTGCCCTATTCCTCCACATTCTTACTTGGAACCTCTGTATAGATGCAGAGACCATTTACAGGACATCTGTTGTGGTAGAGGAGATTTATTTTCCCTTCCATTTCTTCAGCAGAGTCTCTCTTACTTCCTTATTACGAAGCGTATAGATGAAGGGGTTTAAAACTGGAGTCACCACAGTGTTCAGGACGTGGACAGCTTTGATCAGATCCAAGGCATCTTTGATAGAGGTGCGGACGTGAAGGAAAACTGTGGACCCATACCAAATGAGCACCACGGTGAGATGCGAGGAGCACGTGGAGAAGGCTTTGCTCCGGCCACTGGCAGAGGGGATCCTGAGGATGGTGCTGATGATGTACACATAGGAGACAAAGGTGATGAGGCATGAACTCAGGATAACCACAACAGCAATCACAAAGGCCACAAGCTCTACTGCCTGTGTGTTGGTGCAGGCCAGGGCAATCCAGGGTGCAATGTCACAGAAGAAGTGGTTGATGGCACGGGGGCCACAGAAGGACAGGCCACTGATGAGGGCTGTGGGCACTGCAATGGCCACGAAACCACACACCCAGGAGCCCAGGGCCAGCTGCGCTGAGAGCAGGCTACTCATGATGGCTCCGTAGTGTAAAGGATAGCAGATGGCAAGACAGCGGTCATAAGCCATGGCTGCCAGGAGGAAGTACTCTGTGCAGCCTAATGAGAAAACAAAGTACATCTGCAAAAGACAGCTTGTAAATGATATGGTCTGACTTCTCCCCAGTAGGATGGCCAGTGCTTTGGGCACTGCTGCTGTGGTATACCAAATCTCCAGGAAGGAGAGGTTGCTCAGAAAGAAGTACATGGGGGTATGCAACTGATGGGAGGTGCTCACCAACATCAAGATAGCCACATTACCACTAACTGTGAGGATGTACATCACCAGAAAAAGCATAAAGAGAGAGAGCTGAAGAGTTTGAGAACCAGGAAAGCCCAGTAAGAGAAAGTCCTGGGGCAGAGTTTTGTTGCCTGTGTCCATTGTGGTACTGAAACCAGAAAACAGAGTCCCCGCACTGAGCCCTTTAACCCAATCACACAGTCCTAGAAAGATAAAAAGAATGGATTCATGAAAGAGCTCCAATAATTAAATGTAATTATTGGAGATATGATGTAACTTTCATTGAATGCCTGCTCTGTGTTTGGAGGCATAGTTAATATCAGTTATTTTAATGAAACAGTGAGATATGTATTATTATAACCAATTATCAGTTTAGAAAACAAATGTGCAAAAAACGTCAGCAATTCTGGAAAGACTGCACTAATAGCTACATTTCAGCTCCAAGATTCAACTCCAGTCTTTCTGCCTTCATCCCACTCTGAGCCACATTCCAGCTCAGTCCCAGATTACATCTAAACCCAGAAAGCGCTGACTGAATTTACTACATTTTAACTAGACTCTGCATGGCCCCTGGCTGAAACATGTAATTTTGTCTTTGTTTAGAAATTGGCCCAGTAAACCTAAGTTCTAGTCACATACGTATTTAGCAGTTGTAGCTTCTAAATTGATCTAATTCATAAGATTTGTCTTCAAAAATAATGTTCAAAAGTCACCAAAGGTAACTTTAAAATTAGTTTCAAAATGAGTTTTGTCTTCTCTTGATGATTTCATGTTTAAACATTATATGACAGATACTTCTCATCAAAAAAAATATATTTCCATATTGAACAATACACTGAAGCTAACAGTCTAGGAAATCCTGATGCCCACTTGGAAGTGAGTACACTGAAAGCAGGTGAAGGGCAAAAAATCATTGTGAAACCAGTTTTTAAAATTCTCATAGTTTATTTCTAAGCACTAGTTTTGAGAATAGAGTCTGTAAATTCGAAGGTCAATTGGGAAGCTATTACTGTCAAACGTACAGGTGACCAAAACCTATGTTTAGGAGACAGAGTTTTGAAGAAAGACAGTGAAGACTTTGGCGGCTTCATTCTAGGAATTCCCTTATAAATAGAAATGTTCTCTCTCCATCCTCATGTGTCCTACCCTCGCGTTCACCAACGCCGAATGTTGTTTCCCGCATAAACCCAAAGCTACTGCATGTATCCACTGTCGCTAAGGGCATTTAGACTATAAAATGGGTCTACAAAGTAAACGGTGCATACATTGGCTTTACCTCATTGATGGCAGAAGGGGCTTCCAAGCAGTGCTTCTCAAGCTCTAATGGGCACATGAATCACCTAAGGGTATTGCCAAAATGCAAATTTTGATTAATGCACCCTTGACATGCAGCCTATGGTTTTTCATTTCATATGTTTCCAAATGTCACTGGCCAGGACCATACACTGAGAAGCAAGGATCTAGCATCTTTCTCATTTTATAAAAAGGTAATAAATCTGCAGCTTTGCTTGACTGGGTAATGAAGAAGTACAGAGTATGCCACCATAAAATGTGCTCCTCTGGCACTGGATTATTTTGAACTGAAGACAATTGTGAAAGACAAAAAATAGAGAGACACAAGAAAAACTCTCTGGCCGCCCCCTTTCTACCAGGAAGGATTGGATGATTTTTAATCACCAAAGACAACTCTAGGGTCTTATCATCCTAGAGAAGGCAACAGAGGAATATACTCAACAGACCTTGCTTAAATAACCCTTATATTCCACTAATCTCCCCATATATCTACCTTCCCACAATTCATACCCCTGAGAACCCCTTCCTTTGTCTTGTCGCTTCTCTACAAATTTATTGTATTTTTGTTAAAATACTATATAAGACCAAGTTCTAACCAATTCTTTGAATTACTCATCCCTGAATTCTCCCGTGTGTATGTGCAACGCACTTGTCAATAAACTTCTGTTTTTTTGTTGCTTATATGTCTTTGGTGAGTCTAAATTGCAGGATTCCACCCACTGAACCTAAGATGGGAAGAAGGAAAATATTTTTTTCCTCCTTTACACTGGTAAAGGAGCCTAGATTATGAATTCATTACCCTAATACAGAAAAAAATGCCCTAGATACTGATGGGTGACATAGAATAAGAAACACAAAGAAAGGGTGTTCTTTAACAATAAATACTAAATAATATATTTGCAGATTTCTTAAAGCTAATATATTCCAACATATGTGTCATTCACGGCCAACCAGTACATGTAATAACTATTTTTGAATTCAAGTGCCAATGTCAACTGTTAATGTCTTTTGGTATAATCCATTTTTTTTTCTTTAAAGGTCATCAGGGAGCATTGTTAAGAACAGCAAAAAGTAGCTAACATAGTGAATGGTGAATTGCCAGTCACTAGACTGTTAGCTAATGTGATCTTTGTAAATCCTGTTAGCTTGCTTTTATCCTACTTGTTTCACAAATGAGAAAACCAAAACACAAAGAAGCTGAAGAAGTTATTCAAAGTGGAGCCATGACTGTCAATCCAAGACGTCTGATTCTGGAGCCAAAGCACTTTGAACTTGAGGCTTTCAGATATTTTTTATAGGTTCCTACGGCATCTGATTGGCAGATTTTAAAAATATTTTAATTTATGTTCCAATAGAAATCGCTGGGCAAAGCTATTTTGAAAAGCTAGTATGAAATAATTCTATCTTAATTCTTAACTTCTATGAGTAATGTGAATAAGGCAATTATACTCATAATTTTCTATATTCAAAATTCAAAAATCATTTTGATAACTAAAAATTATAAAATAAATATCCAGAACCATATTATGAAATGACATTTTTGTATTTTACTTTTACTTATGCTGCTGAATTTGTCAGATGCCATGACCTAATATTTACGTGAAGCACATGATGATCAACCCCACATGTGAAAACCTGTATATATTGCTCTAGACTCGAGTGTTTCTCGTTTTACTTCTAAGACAGCCTAAATGGAAATCTGTGGATGTGACTTAACAAGAGCTTAAAATAAAAATCAGAGAAAAATATAGTTTGATTTATTAGGTTGAAGTAAATTACCTTTTAATTTTTCAGATTAACTAACAGATTAATCTTTCTTATATAAGTCGATTGAATTTTTAATAATTTTTTTGTTTGAGTATAAGTAATTTTAATTTCTTACATCTGAAAAATAATTTTAAATACATAATATGACAGTTATTTTTTCATAGAAACATGCACTATCTTATTTAAAAACACCTACATTAAAATTGTTTCTTACTCTCAGGAGGTTTTCAGTATTGATTGAATACTATAATGGATCAATCATATACCACAATTTTGTGATTACAAATTTACCCATCTGGCGGACGTGGTGACTGACACCTCTAATCCTAGCACTTTGGGAGGTCAGGGCGGGGGGATCACTTGAGGACAGGAATTTGAGACCAGCCTGGGTGACATGGTGAAACCCCCTCTCTACTAAAAATACAAAAATTAGCCAGGTGTGGTGGTGCATGCCTGTAGTCCCAGCTACTCGGGAGCCTGAGGCAGGAGAATCATCTGAACCCAGGAGGCAGAGGTTGCAGTGAGCCAGGATCGCGCCACTGCACTCCAGCCTGGGCGACAGAGTGAGACCCTGTCTCAAAAAAAAAATTAGAAATTACCCATTGATGAAACACTGGACAGAACTTGTCGAATGCATAATCACCCTTTTCACTTACCCAGTTGAAATTCTTTCTGCCATAAACTCCAAAAGCTTTGTCTCTTGACCTTACTTTTACTCATTTTTTATTCCATGATTTTCTTTATTTAAAAATAATATATTTTGATTGCAATTATTCCCTCTATATCTCTGTTTTTCTTTGATTATCTTGCTGTTTAATAGTGTGCTTCCTTCGGTTGACATCCATTACTCCTTTATTAACTCAAACTTTCATAATCTTTGAAATTAGAGCTCAGTCTTTTTCTGTTTCCTTTTGTTCTTATGCTCTGACCCCATTCTGTCCTAGTTCCATTCCACTTCCCTTTTGTTGTTTTATATTTTCTCCATCTCTCTTCATCATAATTGGCACGACTCTGGAAACCACTTGTTTTTAAGTAATTGCTTATGTACGGATGAATCTTCTGGGAGATGAAGTCTCTCTCAGGTATCTAGGGCTAGTTCAAAAAGACATGATGCCCTTGCACTAAATCTTTCCAAATGGATGACTTCAGAATGTTTTCAGTTATTTAATTTAAACAACTAAATTGTAAAGTTATTGGAACAGGAAAAGGATATCTCTTTGGGCTTTATATATGCTAATCTAAGTATTTTGTCTTGCGGAGAGTTTTTAGCAAATACAGCCATTTAATAAGTTCAACAAGTTTGTGAAAAACTCTTTAAAACAGATCAAACAGAATAAAATTGGACAAATGACCTTAACTAAAAATATAATTAAGTACTATGAAGCATGATATAACTAGAAATTTAAAATTATCTCTGAATTAAAAAAAAAATCTGCCTGGCTGTTCATCAGACTAAAATAGCAAGGGAAGAAAAAGCCAGTTATAAATATATCAGAAGACAATTTTACCCAAGGACATGTTGGAGTTGTAAATTGTCATAATGATTCTCTTCTTTGAGTGATAACTGTTTTCTCACTGAGAAAATTTCTTATTTAAAAATCTTTCACATCAGAAATTTGTTGTTTTCAATCATATGGATAAGAAAAAAATATGGCACCCTTTCTAGGAGTACCTAATTCACGCTGACAGAGACATACAACCTCACATTCTATTCGAGGAGCAGAGCTTCAGATAAAAAGTTTCTGAACACAAAATTTCTCATGTATCTTAATTTTGTAGTTTCCAAGGAAAAAGAACATTTGTGTCCAGATCTGATGTTGACCTTCCATAAGGAGCTTTCTTTGCTTTCCGCCTATTAAATCACTTCTTTTAAATTTCACCTCAACTTCACCCTTCCCCAAATTTAAAATAATTGTCTTTTACATTGTTTAATGAGACGCCCTGTGATCCTTGTGATTTGCAGCCCCCTTTACGTCCATGGGTCAATAAAGCTGACTGCTGGACTATAAGGATGCCTCTAGAAGACTTAGGCTGATTGAGCTCAGGTAAAACTAGAAGAGTGAAAACACATGCCGTGATCCTTCTACAGAAATATTTCCTAAATTCTAGAAAATTCACTTGCAAACTTATAATTGTTCTACACAATTAAATTTTAGTTAAAGGTATATTATCATCTATGTGCTTGTAGGGTAGGGAAAATGGCTTTCCTTCACCCTTCTAAGTTCTTTGACAGGGCTACAAATTAAATTGCCACAAGACAGACTAACAGGAGAAAAATTACATTCAATAATGTTCATATACACAGGAGTCCCACAAAATATGAGATTCAAAGAAGGGCCACATGATTGAGGCTTATATAACACCCTTAGCTGTAGATAAGATTAAGGGGTAGGGATCTCTGGAGCATAGCGTTGACAGGTTATGGGAGCATGAGGGGGAAAAATGTATTGTGCATACACATTGTCTTGTTATGCAGATAAAAAGTATATCAGATAATGAAAGTTGCCCTAGAGCAGCCTTCTTCCTGATACAGATACATTTTCTATTGTAGATTTTCTCTAGAGATGTAGTTTTTTAAAAAATAAAAAAGTAGCCATGTCTGCAGTTTCTCAAAGTAACCTGCTGGAAATTTGCCCAAGAAGTATACTTTGAGGTGACGTATTCTGATCTCTTACAGTCATATTTTGGAGTTGTATCCTAAGCCCCAACACGTTGATAAGCATTTTTTTTTAAGTTATTGAGAAATAAATCACTATGCAAAACAACTTAAGAAATAGAAAAGAAACAATAGAATTTCTCTCCTTTGCTGTTTATATTTAATATTTTTAGTTTGTTTGTTCGTGTGAAACAATCTGAAAATATATTCTACAGTAACACCAGTAATGCTTATGTTTGGGCTCAGAAAATGATACCTCAAAGTATGACACTTTGGCATGCTGAGTACTTTGGAAAAACTGGATAGCTATATACAGAAGAATGAAATTGGACCCTGTCTCACACAATATGCAACAATCAATGCAAAATGAATTAAAATTCCATGACTTTGGTCTGAGCAATGATTTCTTGGATAAGACCCCCAAAACACTGGCAACAAAAGCATTAGACAAATGGGATTGCATCAAACTAAAAGGCTTCTGCATAGCAAAGGAAATAGTTAACAAGAGACAAACTGAATTAGGAGAAAACTTTTGCAAACCATATGTCTGATACAGAGTTAATATCTGAAATAAATAAGACACTAAACTCAATAGCAAGAAAACAAATAATCTAATTTAAAAATGGGCAAAGGACCTGAACAGTTATTTCTTAAAAGAAGGTATATAGTCAACAAATATATGAAAAAGTGCACAGCATCCCTAAAGATCAGGGAAATGCAAATTAAAACCACAGTGAGACATCACCTCACACCTGTTAGAGTGGCTATCATAAAAAAGATAAAAGTTAAGTGTCAGTGAGGATGTGAACTTCAGTATATTTAGGTTTGTAATTCATCTGAATTTTATTTTTTGTATGTGTAGTGTAAGGTGGATTTTAAAAATATTTAATTCTATTTTTTTCTACATTATTTTCCTTTCTAGTCATTCCTTTTCCAGTAATGTATGATTTATCCTCTGTCATATTCTGGTCACCATTCATGAATGGATTGAGTTTTCTTCCTTTGGTCCATTTTCTATCTCTAAACAACCATAATCTTTCAATTACTGTAATATTATAGACATGTTTATATCTGAAAAGCCATTACTCTACTTCTTACTTTTTCATCTTAAAAATTGTTTTAATTTTCATGGCTGTTAAGTTGTGTATATGAATGTTTTAAAAACTTAAGTTCCATTTTGAACTACTTTAAGACTTCAAATGAAAAGTTTATTGGTTACTTATGGAGAATCAACACCTTTATTGAATCTTCTCATCCCTGTACACAGTATATAATCCAACTACTTTCATTTTGTTCATACTCTTAGGTAACTTAAAAAATTATATTCTCCAAAAGTTATTTTTCCCCATTGATGAGTTATTCTCAGATACCATATACTTTTCAATGTTCTTGTGAATATGTAATCCATCTTTAGTTTCTTTTACTGTAGGACTCTCCTTGGTCATTTTGCCCCCAAATTTGACTTTTTGAGCAGTCTCATCAGTCTCTTACAGGATGTCTCATATTATTTGTTTGTTCAGTTGTTTCTCATGTGGTATTATTAAATTTGTATCTTCTGTTTTTCTGAAAACTGGAAGTTAGTTCTGAGGCTTGATTAAACTCCAGGTTAAATATTTTAAGAGAATATTTCAAGGATGATGTAGTCTACATATTGTAACATATCAGGAGGCACATAAGTTATTTTACTATTATTGTTACCAGTTTGATCAATTAGATTATGGAGGCTACCATCATTCTCTTTATTGTAAATATGGAATAGATAGTTTGAGGTTAAAAGCTTGTCATTATGAAGATATCTCATTTTCTTGCAACTCTTTTTCTAGTGGTTTCATCATCCATGGCTGATTCTTGCCTGAATCAATTCCAATATAGATGATTAATATTATGAATTTTTAAATTCTATTATTTCTTAAATATTTACTAGCTGTCAATCTTCTAAAAAATGGTTTTTTATCAATTTTTCCCTGGTAATTAAAACATATTATAGAAAAATAAGGCACTGATATAATTTGGACAGCTGTCATTAAGATGGCTAACTAGAAATGCCCAGCACTCACCTACTCCACAAAGAAGGACTGAGATAGCAAGTAAATAGCCAAATGTTGACGGCACTGTCTAGGAGAGAATGCTGGTATCCAGCAGGGAAGCAAAAGGAACCTTCTGAGGTATGGAAATTCAAAATGGCAGCATAGAGAAGGAAGTAAGGCAGCCAGTTGGATGGGCTAGGAGCCAGGAAGTACTTCCCTTCTCATATGGAAAAAAGGTAAATGAGAGATCCATGTAAGTACACATGTAGGCACCTGCACACACTGTCCAGAGGCTGAAGAGTGGTGTGTCCAGCCTACTGGAACCCACACACCCCACCCAGGAGCCTGAGGGCCAGCCTGTCCAGCCTGCTGTTTCTACAGCCAGCATCCTTGTTACACACTCAAAGGTCTAAAGACTGGCCTACTGAGGGTTTGCTGCCACTACAGCTAGCACTTGCACACACCACCAAAAGGCCTAAGCACCAGTCAACCTTGTGTCCTCATCTTCAGCAAAGGCTAGCCAAAGCATCTGCAAACAACTGCAACCTAAGCCACTAAGGAACGCACAGAAACTACTGACATTGATAACAGTAAAAGAAATCATACAGTGGCTACAGTATGGTGCATATCCAGAACCAAAGCCAAAGCAATCTGCCCAACCAAAATTGAAGCCACATATATAGTAAGAAAAAGTATTTCTTTACAGAAGCTACTCCATAAACCTGGAAGAAGTGACTGTTAAATGCGATGCACAGATATCAACATAGGGATGAAAGAAATACAAAACAGCAAGGAAATATGACACCTACAAAGGAAGACAATAATTCCCCAGTAAAAGACCCCAAAGAAAAGGCATATAAAATGCCTGAAGAAAAATTATTCTCTGAAAGAACCCGAGTGAGATACAAAAGAACACAGATAAATAATACAAAGAAATAAGAAAAAAAATCATGATCCGAATCAGAAATTCGACAAGAAATAGATACCGTAAAAAAGAACAAATAGAAATCCTGGAACTAAAGAATTTAATGAATGGAATAAAAATGTAATTGAGAGCTTCAACAAAATACTAGATGAAGTAGAAGAAAAAAATTTTGAACTTGAAGACAACTCTGTTGAAATAATTCAGGCAGACAAAGAAAAACACAAATACTCCAATTTGATTATTATACATTATATGCCTGAATCAATATATCATATGTACCCTATAAATATATACAATTATTGTGTATCAATAAAACTAATAAAGTATAAGAAAAAGAGGACTATAATTATAAAATATCAGATGCTACTAAAAAAACAAAAGGGAGGACACTGAAAAATCTCAACAGATTTTCCACAATGCACGTAATTTCTTAAATATTTAAACCAAAAATATTTCACCAATATAATTTAACTGAGGGTAGGGTAACAGTCTTTTCTCTTTTACAACTCTGCCTACTCAACTCTGACAATAGGTAGATGTACATGTCAACATAATTGATTCATGTTTAGCATACATTTTTTTCTTTAAAGGGAAAGAACAAATAATTGTGTGATTTTCCCTCTGGTAGAACTTAAAGGAAATTTTATGTGTAAGATATATCATGAAAGTTTAATTTAACCTTATTTATATTTTTAGCATCTTATTTTGGTATGGTAAAAATCAACATAGCTGTCAGAGGATATTTGGGACATGATTAAATAAGATAACATGTGACTCAGAATTATTACCTGGCCATCTAGTTAATTCAATGGTTAATAAAACATTAGTAACATGATTGAAAAAAGAGCATAATAATTGAGAACAATCTTAGGAATATTTGTATTTTTTCTTAGATAAATAAGAACATAACAAAGTCAATATAAAACCCAGAAAGTTATTGTAATAAGACACAGAATCTCTAGGGGGGTTATATAGAAGGTAAAGAAAAAGGTTTCACATTGTAGACACTCGTGGTTAAACCAAAGGAAGTCTATCACAACTGAATGACTTGGGAAATCATTTTAACACATTTCCAAGCTTCTCTTCAGAATCAGATTTAAAACATTATTCTTTATACAGGGAGAGGTGAAGGCCTTTCTGAACTATAGACATGCAGACACATAGAAACACACAGTTCTCAGACCTTCAGAACTCTGCCTGGTCTGTTTCTGGAAATACTATTTACTGGGTGACCACCACTTGCCTAGGAGACCTTGGCTCAGACATGTCTTCTCACCTCTGCTTTAGGTGTCCTGCAGATTGTTTACAGATCTGGGCACACCTCTAAAATGGCCTTAGCTCACTGTGTTATTTTTGCCTAGTATTGTTCTTGCTCAGCTCTAGCTAGATTCTCAGGGGAGTCATGTGAATTTTATCTGGGTAGTATAATGCAAATGCATTATACTGCACTCATTGAATCACCTCAGCATTTTTAATTTGTTCTCAGTGAATAAAATAGAGAAAATGGGTTATTAAGAGACCAAAGATGAAAGCATCATGTTAAACAGAACCAATTCTTTCAGAAAGTTATAATACAAAGGCAGAAATGCTTTGTCATAGAAGAATACCAAATGATTACTATAACACTATGTATTATCCTGATGTAATGCAATTAAGTGACTTAGAAATAGTCAGTTAGGCTCTTGAGTATTTATTTCTTCAGGGAAAAAATAATTTGAGTATATTGCTTTCTTTTCTCAGGTCTTTCCAAAGTTACAAATAAGGAAAGTTTCTTGTGATCTGTAAGGCACTGTATCACTGACAGAACTTGAAAGTGTTAAATGAAGTAAGCCTCCTGACCATATGTTTTCTGCAGCAACCTTATCAGAGCACATTTCATGTCATTGTTCCGCAGGCTGTAGGTTACAGGGTTAAATACTGGAGGCATCACAGTGTAGATCACAGAAAGCAGCCTGTCAATAACAGATGGTGAATTTGAAGGTGGCTTAAGATAAACAAAATAAGCAGTTATGATAAAAACAGTGAAAACAGTGAGATGGGGGAAGCATGTGGAAAAAGCTTTGGACTGACCTTTAGTGGTAGGGATCTTCAGTACAGTGGAGAAGATATAAATGTAAGAGATCACAATACAGATGAAACAAGAAATGCTTAAACATGCACCAACTCCAATACCTGCATAAATTACCATTAGTGTTTCAGAACAGGAAATCCTTAGTAATGAAGGAACATCACAGAAAAACTGTGGAATCACACTGGAGCCACAGAAAGGCATGGAAAATGTGCCAGCTGTGTACGCAGTACCAAAGAGCCCTCCAATGGCCCAGGAAACACTTGCCATTAACACACAGACTCCAGTATTCATGATTACCTCGTAGTTCAGGGGACAGCAGATGGCTACATAGCGGTCATAGGACATGGCAGTGAGGATAAATATCTCTCCTGCTGAGAAGGAAGTCATTAAAAGTAGCTGGAAGGCACATCCTAGAATGGAAATGGAATTGTTGTGGGTTAGGTTGTTGACAATGAATTTTGGGATTGGAACAGACACCAGGAAGACATCCAAAAAGGATAAGTTCTTCAGGAAGAAGTACATGGGTGTTTGGAGCTTTACGTCCAGGGTAATGAGAGTAATGATGAGAAGGTTACTCATTAGGGCTGCCAGGTAAATCAGTAGGAAGAGCACACCATATAAAATCCGCAGCTTCTGGATATTAGAAAACCCCATAAGAAGAAATCCTGTCACCAAGGTGACATTGGCCATACTAGATTCTCTTCAGTGCCTGTCAAGGTGAGAAAATATGCAAAAAAAGAATAAAGGAGAAAAAAATTAAAAAATTAGTCTATACAGACTAGCAAGAGTCATATTGATATACAAAAATATTCAGTGGAAAGGAGTCATGTACCTACCTAAAATGGCTCTCCATTTACTTAAAACTTCATTGTTCATTTTTTAAGATAAACTCCATGAGTAATGTGTAAATTCCATTAGACTTTATGAGTTTTACCTAATCCTATAGCCTCAAACTTAATTTGTTACAAGACACATGTAACTTGACTAAACACAGAAGCTTTTCCAACCCACTGAGAATTTGCATCAAATTATTATTATGCCATGCTTCATGATGAATCCTTTGCTTTCAGAAAAGCAATCCAAAGGCCCATGTCTTTAGATTGTGTTAGTATCCCTAATATCCTATACAGGTGCAAAATATCAATTATCATGTGATGTTGTAAACATGAAGTCACACTTACAGATGTATTGAATAATCTAACACAGGTAAATAACCTTCTCTATTCTAATGATAGTAAGCAAGGGAAAATAAACAAGGATTTGTTGTTCAATGTTTGTATTATCTTGAGGTCATGCAATTCTAACATAATGAATATCTCACTTAGTGTAGAAATAAAAAATGAATTATTTAGCAAAATTTCATGTTCTTTGAATGTGCATATGTGTACTAAAGCCACATCATTATAAGGGTGGTTGATTTGTTTATAAAGGAATTTTGACAGGGCACCATGATAAAATGGCTTTCCCATCCTAACTGAATAATTTTTCTTGATCATGGTCAGTTGTCGGTAATTTACTTTGTAAAACTATCAAATATCTTCTTTCAGTGTTTAAAATATTTCCCTCAATTATTAGTTACTGATGTAGAGTTATTTATTCTTTATTGAAAAGATCAAAAAAATGTTCCATATATATCAGACATCAAACTAGATGGTAGAGATTTAAAAAATAAACAACTTTGTTTTTTCCTAGGAGCTTTGTGTTGATGGGAGGAGGCAGAAAAAGAACAAATAAATTAGTAAACAAGATAAACTCAGATTGGGGGAGGCATTAAGATAATACAAAGGTGTTATTTTAGAGATTAACCAGATGAAAGGGCTTTCTATGTGGGTGACCTGAGGGCTGACAACAAAATGAAGAGAAGAAATACAGGACAAAGATCTGTAGAGAAGATGCTTTAGGAAAAGAAGCTTAAAAAATAAAGTAAAGGTTACGGACATTTGGATCACATGTGGAGAAGCAGTATATAGTGAACTTGGAAAATGTGGTAGAGTGATTAAATAATTCTGAAGACATTTATTAGCTTACTTCAATGGTCAGTCTGGAGAAATACACAAGGAAGGACAAAAGGGAGGAGGAAGATAATTAATTGTTTTTTTGTCTGCCCTAAATTTCCTTAATATCTACAAGATTTTATTTATTTATTTATTTATTTATTTATTTTTTATTTATTTATTTTTTTTATTTTTTATTATACTTTAAGTTTTAGGGTACATGTGCACATTGTGCAGGTTAGTTACATATGTATAAATGTGCCATGCTGGTGCGCTGCACCCACTAACTCGTCATCTAGCATTAGGTATATCTCCCAATGCTATCCCTCCCCCCTCCCCCCACCCCACCACAGTCCCCAGAGTGTGATATTCCCCTTCCTGTGTCCATGTGATCTCATTGTTCAGTTCCCACCTATGAGTGAGAATATGCGGTGTTTGGTTTTTTGTTCTTGCGATAGTTTACTGAGAATGATGATTTCCAATTTCATCCATGTCCCTACAAAGGACATGAACTCATCATTTTTTATGGCTGCATAGTATTCCATGGTGTATATGTGCCACATTTTCTTAATCCAGTCTATCATTGTTGGACATTTGGGTTGGTTCCAAGTCTTTGCTATTGTGAATAATGCCGCAGTAAACATACGTGTGCATGTGTCTTTATAGCAGCATGATTCATAGTCCTTTGGGTATATACCCAGTAATGGGATGGCTGGGTCAAATGGTATTTCCAGTTCTAGATCCCTGAGGAATCGCCACACTGACTTCCACAATGGTTGAACTAGTTTACAGTCCCACCAACAGTGGAAAAGTGTTCCTATTTCTCCACATCCTCTCCAGCACCTGTTGTTTCCTGACTTTTTAATGATTGCCATTCTAACTGGTGTGAGATGGTATCTCATAGTGGTTTTGATTTGCATTTCTCTGATGGCCAGTGATGATGAGCATTTTTTCATGTGTTTTTTGGCTGCATAAATGTCTTCTTTTGAGAAGTGTCTGTTCATGTCCTTTGCCCACTTTTTGATGGGGTTGTTTGTTTTTTTCTTATAAATTTGTTTGAGTTCATTGTAGATTCTGGATATTAGCCCTTTGTCAGATGAGTAGGTTGCGAAAATTTTCTCCCATTTTGTAGGTTGCCTGTTCACTCTGATGGTAGTTTCTTTTGCTGTGCAGAAGCTCTTTAGTTTAATTAGATCCCATTTGTCAATTTTGTCTTTTGTTGCCATTGCTTTTGGTGTTTTAGACATGAAGTCCTTGCCCATGCCTATGTCCTGAATGGTAATGCCTAGGTTTTCTTCTAGGGTTTTTATGGTTTTAGGTCTAATGTTTAGGTCTTTAATCCATCTTGAATTGATTTTTGTATAAGGTGTAAGGAAGGGATCCAGTTTCAGCTTTCTACATATGGCTAGCCAGTTTTCCCAGCACCATTTATTAAATAGGGAATCCTTTCCCCATTGCTTGTTTTTCTCAGGTTTGTCAAAGATCAGATAGTTGTAGATATGCGGCGTTATTTCTGAGGGCTCTGTTCTGTTCCATTGATCTATATCTCTGTTTTGGTACCAGTACCATGCTGTTTTGGTTACTGTAGCCTTGTAGTATAGCTTGAAGTCAGGTAGTGTGATGCCTCCAGCTTTGTTCTTTTGGCTTAGGATTGCCTTGGCGATGCGGGCTCTTTTTTGGTGCCATATGAACTTTAAAGTAGTTTTTTCCAATTCTGTGAAGAAAGTCATTGGTAGCTTGATGGGGATGGCATTGAATCCGTAAATTACCTTGGGCAGTATGGCCATTTTCACGATATTGATTCTTCCTACCCATGAGCATGGAATGTTCTTCCATTTGTTTGTATCCTCTTTTATTTCCTTGAGCAGTGGTTTGTAGTTCTCCTTGAAGAGGTCCTTCACATCCCTTGTAAGTTGGATTCCTAGGTATTTTATTCTCTTTGAAGCAATTGTGAATGGGAGTTCACTCATGATTTGGCTCTCTGTTTGTCTGTTGTTGGTATGTAAGAATGCTTGTGACTTTTGTACATTGATTTTGTATCCTGAGACTTTGCTGAAGTTGCTTATCAGCTTAAGGAGATTTTGGGCTGAGACAATGGGGTTAATGCCCACAAGAGAAAGCAGGAAAGATCCAAAATTGACACCCTAACATCACAATTAAAAGAACTAGAAAAGCAAGAGCAAACAAATTCAAAAGCTAGCAGAAGGTAAGAAATAACTAAAATCAGAGCAGAACTGAAGGAAATAGAGACACAAAAAACCCTTCAAAAAATTAATGAATCCAGGAGCTGGTTTTTTGAAAGGATCAACAAAATTGATAGACCGCTAGCAAGACTAATAAAGAAAAAAAGAGAGAAGAATCAAATAGACACAATAAAAAATGATAAAGGGGATATCACCACCGATCCCACAGAAATACAAACTACCATCAGAGAATACTATAAACACCTCTATGCAAATAAACTAGAAAATCTAGAAGAAATGGATAAATTCCTCGACACATACACTCTCCCAAGACTAAACCAGGAAGAAGTTGAATCTCTGAATAGACCAATAACAGGAGCTGAAATTGTGGCAATAATCGATAGTTTACCAACCAAAAAGAGTCCAGGACCAGATGGATTCACAGCCGAATTCTACCAGAGGTACAAGGAGGAACTGGTACCATTCCTTCTGAAACTATTCCAATCAATAGAAAAAGAGGGAATCCTCCCTAACTCATTTTATGAGGCCAGCATCATTCTGATACCAAAGCCTGGCAGAGACACAACCAAAAAAGAGAATTTTAGACCAATATCCTTGATGAACATTGATGCAAAAATCCTCAACAAAATTCTGGCAAACCGAATCCAGCAGCACATCAAAAAGCTTATCCACTATGATCAAGTGGGCTTCATCCCTGGGATGCAAGGCTCGTTCAATATACGCAAATCAATAAATGTAATCCAGCATATAAACAGAGCCAAAGACAAAAACCACATGATTATCTCAATAGATGCAGAAAAAGGCTTTGACAAAATTCAACAACCCTTCATGCTAAAAACTCTCAATAAATTAGGTATTGATGGGACGTATTTCAAAATAATAAGAGCTATCTATGACAAACCCACAGCCAATATCATACTGAATGGGCAATAACTGGAAGCATTCCCTTTGAAAACTGGCACAAGACAGGGATGCCCTCTCTCACCACTCCTATTCAACATAGTGTTGGAAGTTCTGGCCCGGGCATTTAGGCAGGAGAAGGAAATAAAGGGTATTCAATTAGGAAAAGAGGAAGTCAAATTGTCCCTGTTTGCAGATGACATGATTGTATATCTGGAATAGCTACAAGATTTTAAAAATTTTGCCTTGAAACAGAGAGTACTTTAACATTTTACCAACAGAAATTTGAAATTAATACCGTAAAATAATTCCAATTTTTCAACCACATGGACACAGGATTACTCATCAGATGTCCTTAAGGAGATAATTCCATCACATCTACACAAGGGTAGAAATATTCCTCCCAGAATAAAAAGTTTAATTTGTCAGTTGATTACCTGAAATTAAAACAAAACATCTAGCTTCCTTCATAAACTCCGTGTCAACATAGCACATGGTTCCATCTCTAGACTTTTGATAAAAGACTCAAAGAGCTCTGCAAAGCTGTGGTAGTTTCTTCACATGGAAGGATGCATACTACCACAATGAGGAAGACTATTTGCCTTTCTTTTATTTCAAATTTGACATAATTTGTAAACGTCTATAGTCAAGGGACTGCAACAAATTATTTTTAAGGCACTTGGCTAATACTTTAGAATTCCCCAAAGAAAAATGTTTTAAATATTTTCTGAATCACCTTGTTAAGTGATTATCTCTTAAGACCATTAGCAGTATAATCACATGTGTTTTCTGTAGGGAGGAAACAACTGTTTCCAACGTAGGTCCAGAACATTCTGAAATACACTGTTAAGGACATGACTCAGTCTTTTAGCAGAAAAATAATAAAGTACTCAAGTATTCCCTTAATTCTACTTATCATAGAGTTATAGGCTATAGGACAGTGATAACCAAGCTATGTAATATACTGTATAATAATCATCTGAGCACTTTGCTAAAAATGAAGACTCCTGAAACATACAACAAGCCAACATAACATAGTTGAAGATTTGCTTGTAGCTCTGTTCCCCTTTAGACTTAAGAGTTTATATTAAGCCTATGGTTAAGTTACTTAAAATGGTTTCTTTCTGTTTTCTTTTGAACATGGTTTTGTTTTTCATTCGAAGCATAGTTATTTCATTTGATTTGGTTTGCATTTAATTTTAAAGTTTTTTGTCCTTTACTTTTGTTGACAGTTTTTATATGTAAAAAATCAATATGCTTCTCCAAAGTAAAAATACACACAAAAACCCCACAGAATACTATTCTCAATGAAATGTCACTCTCTATCCTTTCCACCCCATTGCTCGAGATCTACAGAAAAGCAATTTCAGGGTTTACTGGTTTGTTGTTTGCAGGTTTCAATTTTACAAAAAAAGATTTGCTCATGTTTTCTTGTTACTTATAGCATACGAAGTATACTCCCTTACATTTGATTCTTTAATGTAATAAATGCTGGCAAACATTAGATACAGTTTATGGAAACTGCCTTCATTATCATTATTTTTTAATGGTTGAAGAATACTCCAATGTAAATATAGGTAATAGTTTATTCAATAATTACTATATGTTTTGGTATTTAGTTTTCAAAATTTTGTGGTTATAAACAAAGCTGCCAAATAGAAACCTTGTGAACATTTATTAAATTACAGGAGGTACACTTCAGGGTATTATATAAATGAGTCAAAGGTGGCTCCTGTAGATTGGCCCTCACGTAGTTTACTTCTTCACAGCAGGCTGTGACAGTTAGCTCAAACCCTGATGACACCAAACTCAAATCGTTACAAATCCAGTTGATTCAAACATAGCAAAAAAACCTCACATGTTTTAGTCATATATAACCTGCCTACCTCTACCCTGCATAACTGCACCCAACATCTGCTAGCTATAATGAAAATTAACCCTGGGGCTATAAAACACTTCAAACCACTTACCCTGCCAGATAATTTTTGTTTTTTACTGTTTTATTTCCTCTTTCTTTTCCTCCATTTCTTCTTTCCTGCCATTTTTCAGTGATTATTTGAATAATTTTTAAAATTTCTTTTAAAAATTTGTTGGTTTTCTAGCTGCTTTTTATTGTGTATAGCTGCCCCAGGAATGAGAAAATATACATACTTAACTTTTTCTAACTCTACTTATAATTGATAATGCACTCCTTCTTGTAAAATAATATCTTTGGCATTTACACATGTATTAGTCAGGGTTCTCCAGAGAAACAAAACTGACTGGATAAAAAAATATATATATTTGAAGGCCTGGAAATGGGAACTCTGATGTTGGAGGGCCAGGAGAAGGTTGCTATCCCAGCCCAAGAAGAGGGTGTGAATTCACCTTTCTTCTGCCTTTTTGTTCTATTTGTACTCTCATTGGATTGGATGATGCCTCTCCACCTTGGTGAGGGCGAGTTTCTTTACTCAGTCTACTATTTCAAATGCTAATTTCTTCTGGAAACACCTTGATAGACACACTCAGAAATAATGTTTTACCAGCTACTTGGGCACTGTTTAGTCCAATTGTATTGACACATAAAATTAACTATCATAGCCCATATATGACCATGTCTGATACTATTAACTTTTTTTAGTATTTCAGTATATTTCTTGTATTATTTATTTCATTCTAAAGATCTTACTTCAGTGTTTCTTACAGGCAGTTTTGCTGTCAACAAATTCCTCTTAGGCTTTTTTAATCTAGTGCTGTCTTTATTTTTCCTTCATTCTCAATTACATTTTTGCTGGACATGAAATTTTTGATTGATAGTTGCCCCTCCAAACCTTTCAACCTTTCAGTATGCTGAGGATGTTTTTCTGTTCTCTTTGTGTAATCATCATTTCTAGTGAGAAGTCATTATTCACAGTATTTTTTCCCTTTATGTAATATATTACTAATTTTTTCTTGCTGCTTTAAAGATTGGTGCTTATACTTTGCTTTCAATAGTTTTACTATTATTTATTTTTGTTTGAGTTATTTGTGTTTGTCTTCTGACTGGTGTTTTTTAGCACCTTGTACCTACAGATTTCTATTTCCCTCAGATTTCAAAAAATATTGGCCATTATATCTATAATTATTTTTTCTGGCATGTTCTTTTTTTTTCTCCTTCCAATTCATCAGCTTAGATAATTTATATGCTCTATCTTCAATGTACTTACTCCCTCAGTAAAATTTTAATTTCAGAAATAGAAATTTTCAATTTTGTAATTTCTGTTTGGTTATTTTAAAGTGTTTCTATTTCTTTGTGGAGAAATCCCATTTGTATACTGAGATTTCACATGTATTGAAAACATATTTTTTTTTCTTAATTGAGATAAATGACCAATATAAGTATCTTTGTCTGTTTGCTTCAACATCTGGTTCATCTTGAGTTTGGCCTAGATTTATTTTCTTTTCACATCTTAGTGGGTTTAATTTTTAGATCCCTCATATGATGGGTAGAATTTATCCTGAATATTATGAAAGCTGAATTGTAGAGATTCTACATTTTATTTTATTTTTAAGTGAGTATTATTTCTACATATTAACAAGCCATTTCTTCATTGGTCTTGAACTACAATTTTTATTTCATTTGCAGTAGCTTCCATTTCATTCAGATCTTGGTATGGCTGAATATCTTTCGGTCTTTCTGTGCATGTGTGATTCAGGGGTAAGCCAGAGATGTGGGTAGAAAGTGTTTGGCCTAACTTTTTTTTTGTATTTTACTTTAAAGATCTCTACACTCAGGATTTATAGTCCCCAGTCTTCTCTTTTCTGGCGCCCCAGTCCAGAAAAAAATAGGATCTATCTCTATCCATTTTGGCCAGCATCGTAAGCTCACCACTGTTGTGTTGCTGTATGAATTGCACATATCCCAACACTGAAAGCTGTGATGGAGGAAACTAAAATGGTCAAGCGCCCTTACAACACTTCTCCAAGTGAACAGAAACCTTTGGCCACAGTCCGCCAGCACTTATTCAGGTGTTTTTTATATTATGTTTAGGTTTCACATGTGCTTTCTGTTGGAGAAAAGGAGGGGTCTGAGGAGCTCTTTCCTAGTCCATCTTATTTGGAAGTAAAACCTCTCTTTTAGCAAAACCGAGCATGGCCTTACCAAATGACCTAGTGATTTGGTCCCTTGGTACTTACCCAACTGATTTGAAAAGTTATGTGCAAACAAATCCTGCATATAAGTGCTTATAGAAGTTTTATTTATAATCACCAAAACTGAAAGAAACTAAGTAGTCCTTCAGTAGGTGAGTGGATAAAGTATACTTCAACAATGCAGTAGAATACTAATCATCAGTAAAAAGGCATGAGATATCCACACAACAACATGGATGAATCTTGGATGCATTTTGCTAAGTGAAGAAGCAAGTCTGAAAGTCTGGCTTCTTTCAGACTCAGCACGCCCTTCCCCCAGGCAGGATATGTTTGTAGTAAAGTCTTTTTGCCTGGAGTGGTCCTTTGATCTGGGAAGGCTCTGGGCATGCTATGGTTACTTTTCCACCCTTTTGCCAATCCAGGAGAGATTCTTTCTTGGCTTTTTATTTGAAAGCCTTAGTGGGATTCCTAGATATAAAACCAATGAAAGTACGAGGTCCCCCTGAGACTGCGGCCCTCAGGAGTTTCTTACTCTTACACCATCCTGAGAGCATTCGGAAATTCATCAAACTTGTGACCCTTCCAGTTTATTATTTCTGTGGCTTTCGTTCCTAGTGAGCAGATCTTAGCTGTGACTCTCTATATTCACCTGTCTCTCTAGATTTAAGGATTAATTTCCATAATAGTGGACTAAAGACGAAAAGTGAATAGATACACTTACCTCATTATCAGAAAACTGATTTGAAAGATTTGAAGAAATTTGTGACAAAAATCCTCAGTAACCTGGTATTGAAGGTAACCTCTTAAACTGATAAAAGGCATCTGAAAAGAAACAAAAACCAAAGAAATGCATTGGACTATGGAACAATTCCTATTTTACAAACCTTCTGAAACTTAAGGAAAGACATTTCCTGTTTATCTGTTCAATCATGCTATCTGCTCATTCTACTCCCTCACTCCCTGTCCTTTCTAGCCTTCCTCACTCTCCCTATATAACAAAAGCCCTTTCTGCCTGACCATTTAGAGGACTACAGGTATCATGCTTGGGGAAATTCTTTCTATTGCAATACTCTTTTTGAATAAGTTATCTGCTAACTCAAAACCAAGAAGAACAAAAACAAAAGCCAACAAAATGAACAAAAGACAAAACCCTGCAACTAATATCATAGTTAATGCTGAAAGCCAGAATGTTTATTCTGTAGATCTGGATCAAAAAGGATTATTCTCTCACCACCTCTATTTAGCCCCAAGCAGTGAAAAAAGGTAAGAAAAAGAAAAAGAAAATTCATTAAAAATGAAGAAGTGCAACTTTTCCTCACAAAATGAGTATCTACGTAGACATTTTGAGAAATCTACAAAACAGCTACCAGAGCTACTATGCTAGTTAAGAAGGTTGCATGATAAAAATAAGGCTGTTACATGGTATTAAAAAACAAATGGAAATGGAAAGCAAAAACAATATCATTTATATTATGTTACAGGTTGAACTGTGTCTTTCCAAAATTCATCTTTTGAAGTTCTAACCTCCAAGACCTCTGAATCTGACTGTATTTGGAGAAAAATCCTTTAAAGAGCTTATTAAGATAAAGTGAGGCCATTAGGATGGTCCCCAATCTAAACTTACTGATGCCTTATTAGAACAGGGATTAGGGCACGCAGAGACCCTGGGGGCACGCATGCACAGAGACGACCAGAGGAAGAGGCAGCAAGACAGTGTCCATCTGCAGCCCGAGGAGAAGATTCAGAGGAAACCAAGGCAGCTGACGTCTTGATCTCAGATGTGCAGCCTCCAGAATCGTGAGAAACACCCACTCACAGACGACGTGTTTAAGCTACCCCATCTGTAGTATTTTGTCATGGCAGCCTAAACAAACAAATACAGATTTGGATCAAACTCATGAAGTATCTACTGATTAATTTAACAAAATGAGCTTGGGGGTTGTGTACTGATATGTACTGAAATAACAAAATGTTTCTGAGAATCTTTTAAAGACTTAAAAATGGAGGGATATACCATCTTTATTGCTCAAAATACTCAATGTTGCTAAAAATACAGTGTTTTCTACATTGATCTAGATTCAGTCCCTGTCAAAATCCCTAGGAATACCTTAAAAATCAATAAGCTAATTTTTAAAATGTAGATAATGAAGTCCTATGGGGCTGGATGTCATATGTCTCTTACGAAATGTCATAAAATGATGAAGAAGAAGGTCTAATCTAAACGTCAACTTCGCAATGAATGTGGGGTGTCCACAAGAGGTTGCTGGATGACAGAAACAAGCTCTAGGCAGCATAGAGGCTGTCCCCACCAGGATATCTAGAAAGTCAGTCATTCAAAGCAAACTAGCGAGCAAATAACTGGAAATTACGTGAATATAATAAGAATATTACAAGATCAAAATCTGAAAATAAACTGTACCTCATCCCAACCCTGGAGAAGACCCCACTGAGTTTCATTTTGTTGCTGCTTCCAAGGGAAGCCTGAACTCGTAGGATGCTCATGAGGATGCCCCTGGCATCACTTAAGAATGAAACAGATGTTGAAAATTCGGTGCTCTTGGGAACTTTCTATACAGGCATCTCTCGTCATTTGTGAGAATCTGAAGGGACGTCATCTTCCCTGGAGGCTTAAATCCAGAGTGAGAGGAGAAAAGAAAGATCCAAGGGAAGTGTGATGGCTCAAGGACTTAAACAAATCCATGTTTCAGACCCCAAAGTCAGAGCACTGCATCTCCCAGTGTCCTTCTCAGTTGAAACTGGACTGAGATTATTACACTCAATTTAAAGAGTCTGTGTACACACACCAAAATTTAAGGTGTCACATGCAAATGAATGTCTAGGATCCATTAGTCACATATTATGGATGCAATAAATAAAGGTTTATTCTCATGAGACCCAGAAAGATCTCCTTTTCTGACTCACTGGAGGAAAAGGTGTGGCATCACGTCTCAGATCTGAGGTGAGAGTGAAGAGCTGGGTCTCCAGGGCTTAAAACCTATGAAATAAAATATAAGTACAAGTAAAAGTGTGACCTCCCAGGAGAGTCCCATATAGTCAATGAAAGTCTGTTTAAAGCTGCTTTAAAAGCCTTGCTCCTTCTTGAAGAAGGAAGTGCCTAATACAGAGGACATCAAGCAGAGCTTGGAGACTGCACAAAAGAAATAAATACTGATACGTAGAGGACAGAAATGGTCAATCAAAATCGTCGTGAGTTTAACCCGGGGAGTTGGGGTCTTGAAGCAGGAATCGGTAAGCATATAGGAAACTGTTTGCAGCATTCACTAGATCTCCCTAAGAATTGAAAACTAGAGCTCTCTTTGAACAAAAACTGTGAAAAGAAGTCCTAAATTACTTAGACATTTCATTTTTATTTTCTTCTCTTCTGAAATTATTTTGAAATAAATATAGAACTGTTTGGGAAAGCATTCTCACCGGCCTTTGTTATGAATGTTGCTTCTATTGATCTTACTCGAGAATGGAAACATTTTCCGGGGCTGAAGATTCCATATAGCCTTTGTTATGAATGTTGCTTCTGTTGATCTTACTCGAGAATGGAAACATTTTCCGGAGCTGAAGACTCCATATAGGCCTCCCCTCCCCTCCCCTCCCCTCTCCTCTCCTCTCCTCTTCCCCTTTGCTCTCTCATTCTCTCCATTCCTCATATTCTTGACAAAAGTGATAAAATTTGTTGTTAATATGATATAGAAATGGTAAAGAAACATATAAACCTGAACTTACCCTATCTTCCCAGCCTTCTTAGATACCCCTTGATTTTAGGATTATTTTGTGTATTATATGTATTTTCCCAGTTTTAGATTGATTGAGACTCAGATTGCATATTTTTATTTAATCATGTGGAATTTCCCTGGACCAAATAAGTATATAAATATAATGAGGCAAAGCTTTATTGTTATTAATGTTATCTGTAAAGAAAAGCACACAGACTTTTAAACTAATGCTATCACTCATTTCATATGTAAGCATGTGAAATAAGGTGAAATATAAATCAAAAATGAGACTGAAGGGATAAAAATCTAGCATTGGAGTCAAACATCACTGGGGTGGAAGGAACTCAAAAGGACACTCACTCACTCACTGAGCTACCCTGGCTGTCTCTAAAACACACAGGCTAATGCAACAGAAACAAGGATGGATGGTTTGCTAGTTTGGAGGTAGCTCTTGGGGTATTTTGACACTGCTCCAGGTTTTATTCCCCAGCAGGTCAAACAAAGGAGGCTTTACTTTTGGGGCTTCCATGAATTAGCTCATGTTATGAGTCAGGCTCTCCATTATTGCTCTAAAGCTAGGGCCAGTGCTTTCTCCAACAAGAAAGCCCAAAGTTTGCAACATAGTAAGAAATTTCCATTTGCTCATGAGTCTTTTCAACTTAAAACATTATTTTATTTAATTTTTGTAGACATAGAGGGGTCTCATCTTGTTGTCCAGGCTTGTCTCGAATTCCTGGCCTTAAGAGATCCTCTGGCCTCAGCCTCCTAAAATGCTGTGATTACCGGCATGAGCCACCATGCCTGGTCCCTTTTCAACTTTAAATCACTTGTTAATTTAGTTCTCAGAAAATCACTTGTACTGAAATGGACATATTCTATGAAGGTTAGAGGTACGACTGCTCATCCTGGAAAAGCTCTGTTTATTCTTGCTCATCCTCTCGGCTGTGTGTGTGTGCATATGTGTGTATAGAGAAGGAGGAGAATGTATGTTGTAATGGTCTGCTACATTCTCTTTCAGTTGAAAAACTGCTGAACAACAAAGTGAGACTCTCTTGTGTCTACAAAAATAAAATATTTTTTAAGTTGAAAAGACTCAAGAGCAAATGGAAATCTCATGCTATGTTGCAAACTTTGGGTGTTCTTGTTGGAAAAAGCACTGGCAGTAGCTTTAGAGCAATAATGGAGAGCCTGACTTATAGCTCAACATGAGCAAGTTCATGGCTGCCCCAAACTTAAAGCCTCCTCTGTTTGACCTGCTGGGGAGAATAAAACCTAGAGCAGTGTCTACATACCCTAAGAGCTACTTCCAAACTAGCAAACCGTCCATCCTGTTTTCTGTTCTGTGTGTTTTAGAGATGGCCTGGAAACCAAAGGGGAAAGTGAAAAAATTGCCATTGAAGTGATACTAAAGTAAAATCAAGAGAGGTTCTAAAGACAAGATGATCTGAGGGAAAAACATGGCCAAAACTCTCCCTCACGTTGGGGTGTGCGAGGGATCTCAGATGACAATCTCTGAATGTCTATCACATAAGAGGACACACTGCATCTCTGGTTAGATGCAGTAGATATCCCTGTCTGTCGCTTCCTGTGTTTAATTAAATCCTTCCTAGAATATTATGTTAATCATCTGGCTAAGTCTCAGGTTTTTGTTCTTTTCATGAAAAATGACACTATATATTTGAAAACTGATTTGTGAAAATAACGAGTACTTTTTAATTTTTGTGCTATGCTATGTATATGGACTAAAGAAAGAAAAAAATGATACTATAATCACATTTTCACCAAAGGAGTAAACTTTAATGCAAAAATGGGAGAATAATCTTAACATCCTTCAGTGAGAAGGGGATAGTAAATTAGAGTATCACCTGAGGATAATGACTATTTTAAATATTGCAGTAAGTAGCAAGCAGAAATTTCATTCACAACATTTAATACACACAAAACTACATTAACCGGGATATTTATACATGAAAATGTATGCCCTATTGCAGTTTTATATATAATTGCATAGCCAACCCTGTAATTCCCAAAGGAAATAAAATCACTCAAAAGTCATTTCAAGTAATGAGGGAGAGAAGTGAAGTTCTTTGCTTCTTTCACAATAAATCTTAGTCCAGGACTACTAAGTGTTAGACTGATATACCCACAGTTGTTTTACACCTGAGTCCATGAGAAATATAAATTGCTTGATATTTTTAAACTTTTTGTCTAGGCCTTGATGCTACACATACCTTCATTCAACAAATGAAGAAACAAATGATACTTTTTAATATTAGTATGACACTTATTTTCCTTTACTCCATAGGGCGCTTATAATTTTGAACTATGACCAATCAGACACAGATGATGGAATTCTTGCTTGTGAGATTTACTGAGAATTGGGTGCTCCTGAGGCTGCATGCTTTGCTCTTCTCACTGATCTACCTCACGGCTGTGCTGATGAATTTAGTCATCATTCTCCTCATGATTCTGGACCATCGTCTCCACATGGCAATGTACTTTTTCCTCCGACATTTGTCCTTCTTAGACCTGTGTCTCATTTCTGCCACAGTCCCCAAATCCATCCTCAACTCTGTCGCCTCCACTGACTCCATCTCCTTCCTGGGGTGTGTGTTGCAGCTCTTCTTGGTGGTACTGCTGGCTGGATCAGAGATTGGCATCCTTACTGCCATGTCCTATGACCGCTATGCTGCCATCTGCTGCCCCCTACACTGTGAGGCTGTCATGAGCAGAGGGCTCTGTGTCCAGTTGATGGCTCTGTCCTGGCTCAACAGAGGGGCCTTGGGACTCTTGTACACAGCTGGAACATTCTCTCTGAATTTTTATGGCTCTGATGAGCTACATCAGTTCTTCTGCGATGTCCCTGCCCTACTAAAGCTCACTTGTTCTAAAGAACATGCCATCATTAGTGTCAGTGTGGCCATTGGGGTCTGTTATGCATTTTCATGTTTAGTTTGCATTGTAGTTTCCTATGTGTACATTTTCTCTGCTGTGTTAAGGATATCACAGAGACAGAGACAATCCAAAGCCTTTTCCAACTGTGTGCCTCACCTCATTGTTGTCACTGTGTTTCTTGTAACAGGTGCTGTTGCTTATTTAAAGCCAGGGTCTGATGCACCTTCTATTCTAGACTTGCTGGTGTCTGTGTTCTATTCTGTCGCACCTCCAACCTTGAACCCTGTTATCTACTGTCTGAAGAACAAGGACATTAAATCCGCTCTGAGTAAAGTCCTGTGGAATGTTAGAAGCAGTGGGGTAATGAAAAGATGACTAAAGTTGAAGATGGGAAGTAACTTTTTTTGTTGTTGTTGTTCTGCCATCCACTAGCTGTTTAAAATTATCTCTATTTTGGGATAAAAATGTCATGGAGTCTTGCTACTGATAATCTCAAGCAGTCAGTTTTAATAGAAATAGAAAGCAACTATTTTCCTACAATTTTTGCACTTTTTTTTTTTAAAATTTTGAGACGGAATCTCTCTCTGTCATCCAGGCTGGAGTGCAGGGGCGTGATCTTGGCTCAAGCAATTATCATGTCTCGGCTTCCCAAGTAGCTGGGATTACAGGTGTATGCAACCACGCCCAGCTATTTGTTTGTGTTTTTAGTAGAGACGGAGTTCCACCATGTTGGCCAGGCTGGTCTTGAATTCCTGACCTCAAGCAATCCGTTGGTCTCAGCCTCCAAAAGTGTTGGGATTACAGCGTAAGCCACCGTGCCCATCTCTTTTCCTATACTTCTTCACTTGACATCTGTTATTCATGTAGAAATAATTAAAGTTTTCCTATGACAACTTCAATGATTTTTACTCTTGTTCTGAAGATCCACATGCATTGCATGAGATTTGTATGAGGTTCTCATACCTCAAAAAGCTTTCATCTTTTCGGCATTCTCTTCAGTTAGTTTCTGCTTTATTGTCCTATCTTTTCCAGCATTCTCTTCAGTTAGTTTCTGCTTTATTGTCCTAGATTTTGCATTGCATCTCAGGTTTTATCGATTCAACGTTCTTTATAGCTTCTGATTTTCACTATTTGGTAAAAGTTGTAATTTTAACTTAAAGTTATGATTTCAACTTACTTTTACAGTTTAAAAAATGTACTCAATTTTATTGCATTTTACCTATTTGATTCATGTGTGCTTGGTAGATTTTATACAATTACCCAAACACTTAGGAAGGTGATTTTCTCATGTCTTTTTAAAAATAAATTATGTTTTTGGAGTAGAATATTTTTCTCTTCATTAAAACTTCTTTTTCTCTAATGTGTTGATTCCTGACTTGTGCAAATTGCTTTCATAATGTATTAGAATTAATGAAATAGCATTTAGCACTGTTTCTAACATTGTGATAAATTATACATTTTCTGGACCTTTAATATTATATAACATTTCAAGTACCCTAAATGTGTAGAATTGTTTTCTACTCCTTGCTGCAGGAGACAATCGTCGTATCACCCTATTTGTCCTCTTGCTGCTTCTTTCCTAGAGATGGAAATTAACATTTGTTGCCTAATTTCACTGTATCAGACACTTTTGTGTATACCACCTCTATTAATCCTCTGACTGATATGAGGCAGCATGTAATACTGTTAAGCAGATGGGACAGCTGAGACTGAGCATCTTTTTGTTTATGTTACTCATAACTTAAGAATGTAATAAAATATGTTTCTAGCCTTTGGCAATACCTTTCAAACTCTGTATGCTCACTACAGCATCTTTGAAACTTGGTCCATATTAGCTTCCTCATGAAATCTTCTATTTGCCCAAATTCTACCCAAATATTAAAATCTAGCTTAGATTTTTAGAGTCTAGCTATAAAATATTATGAAAGTGCTTAATTACATATTTCTCTGTCTCTAAACTCTTGTATGTCATTGTATGTATTGTATGTCAGAAAATAATTTAAATATCTTCTAGTGAGCTTTGCACAAATATTTGACAGAAAATAAATATATTTTTAAAATTTGTTTAACACAGAAACTGGATTATCTAATGCCTGCATGGAAAGTTCATGCATAAACTCTTTGATTTACTCTTACAGTGCAGTTCACAGTTGTGAGCATATAATGGTTTTGTCACTACTTCTTTAACACTGCCTGGATCCTAAGCCAATTCATTTCAATGCACCATAAATTTAGTTATGTGTGTTTAAGGAAAAATAAACATTGCATTAAATGAACTTATCAACTTTGAGTTGAATCCCTGTTATAGAAACATTGAATTGGAATATGAATAAAAAAGTGTGTTTGAGAACTGAAGGCACTGGATAATGACTATATTTTTAGAGAGCAACCATACAGAGTGAGTGATAAATCACACAAGTATGCATATGTTAAATATACATATAGATACAATCAAAGTTTCAATGGAAAAAAAGGGTAAGAAGTAGTAACAGGAAGTGAATTTTTGCTGTTTTACATTCAAACCAAAGAAAGCTGTAAATTGTCTTGAATCTATTGGTCATGTAGTTCTACATTTAAAGAGTACATTGCTGATGTTTGCTCTGATAGGTTGTGCTATGCAACTCTTTATTCACCATTGTGACACTTCTCTCCTTACTTTACGAAACGTTCATTGTACTATACCTACGTGCATCAGATGGAGACATACCACAATGATTGAGAACCCTGCAAGCTTACAGATCACTTCTGTGATACCCTCCCCGCCTTGTTTTCCAAAATTTTACCTTTACAGTGATGATACAGATGAAAGTAAATTGAAATAGTACTTCTATTTCAGTTCAAAGGAATTCCGAGTATCTGGAAAAACTAGCTTTGCTCAAATGTTGAAACAAAATGTGTATTGCACTTTTGGAAAGCTTCTTCACAGTAGTTTGTTATGGGTTTATGGAAAAGTCTGAACTTGGTATGGTGTGAAACAGATTGCTTTATTATTTTATTTCAAATACCATGTAATTTTTATTTTAATCATGTAATTTCCAGTCTGGTTTTCTTATACCTCAATATTGAAATTTTGTTGAGATAATACACACACACACGCACACACACACACCATGAAGTGGAGACTGTGTTCACCACTGTGGAATGTAATCTGACATCACAAGATTGAAATTTTGTTGATAATACACGCACACACACACACCATGAAGTGAAGACTGTGTTCACCACTGTGGAATGTAATCTGACATCACAAGATTGAAATTTTGTTGAGATAATACACACACACACGCACACACACACACCATGAAGTGGAGACTGTGTTCACCACTGTGGAATGTAATCTGACATCACAAGAAGCTTATTTAAAAGACCTCACCAGTAGCTAATTAAATCAAATGTCTAATACTAGCCACTTAACTGCTTGTTCTAGGAAAGTGGGCTTCTATTCTCTGTGGGGCTATATGACAGAGGATAATCAATCAATATGATAAAATAATAGGGAATTAAGAAGATTACAAATATTTGATTTTTCCATTTACAAATTTAGGAAACTAATATGTGGAAATAATGATTTGAGACAACAAAACAACAGGAGGATACAAAGATGGGGAAAGACACAAAAAGGGGCACAAAAGTTTTCAAAAATATGCCTTGGAAAGTAGATATAGGTTATTTAATTAGAGATAGGAATTCTACAATTAAAAGTAATTTTTCAAGTTAAATGTATCTAGAACTATGCTATCAAATATGGCACCACTAGACACACGTGACTACTGTGTACTTTGAAATATAATTCGTATAACTAAGGAGCTAAATTAGTACTTTTAATTAATTTGCATTTAAAAATTGATAGTCGATTCATTTATTGGAACATTTTTAAGTGTACTTGAAACAACCAGAGTATGGAAATCTATTTTTTTCCACTTCAAATTTCATAAAGTCTAAATACAAATTATTTCCAGTGAAAGTTTAATGTTCCACTTCCTGCCCACAGAGCCCTCCACTGGAGTGCTTCCTGACTGTGGTGTTCCCTACCAGAACTCCCCCTACCAGAGCACCCCCTACCCATGGCACTCCTCTCTGGAGTGACCCCACTTGCAGAGCACCATGCCAGAACACCTCCCACCTATGATGCCCCTGCTGCCTCCACTGGAGTGTCTATAATGGCAGCCCCCAATCATTTCCTATTGAGTGCTGTTGCCAGTGGTCTGGGAGCACCTTGGCCCCTCCAGCCCAACCAGAGATTGGCCTCAAGGGACAAAGTTTTGCACCAATTTTTATTTCCACCAATCATCTGTGACAATTTCTATGGTTCTGCAGTTTCAGGACTAATTGATATTTGGCAGGCCTTTTAATTTTAGGCATTCTGGTGGTCTGCAGGGATGTTTCATTATGTATTTAAGATGCATTTCATTCATAATTAATGATTTTGAACACATTTTCAAATGTTTGTTGGCATTGCCTTTTTTTGTGTGTTGCCTCTTCAAGTTTCTTCATTATTGATTTATAGGAGTTTTTAAAAAAGTATTTTGGGTATGAGATCTTTGTTGGTTATATGCATTTCCAGTGTCTTTTTGTACCTTAGAGTCTATCTTTTTAACTGTCTTCATGGAAACATAAGTCTTTAAGTGTGTTGTAATTGGTAAAAATTTTCCTTCATGGTTGGATCTTTTTCTGTTTCATTGAAGGTTTATTTTTCTAACCTCACGAGAAATATTGAATATATTCTGCTATATTATGTTTAAAAGCTTTATATTTTACCATTAAATTTTAGATCAATTATCTACCTGTAATTAATTTTTTGCACCCGGGGTAAAGTAGGCATCAAATTTTATTTTTAACCATATGGACATTTAAATGACCGCATCTTTTTCTCTGAAGTTCTACCTTGGCCACTGCTCATGTCATATATATGCATGGTATAGTTTTTGGCCCTTATGTTGCCTATGCCTGAACAAATACCGTAGTGTTCTAATGATTGTAATTCTGTAATATATTGATATCCACAGAGCAAATTATTTTTCCTTTATGATGAAAGTTTTAGCTCTTTTCATATAATTTATATATGTTTTAGAACAGACTACAAATTTTCACACATATACATGTGATAGCTGGGATCTTTTTGTTTTGTTTACTCTAATGTAATCACGTTAAATCTGTTGATTAAGGAAAATAGAAATATTAATCATTTGGATCTTCAAATACATAAATACCATGAATTTTTATTGGTCTTCATTCCTCAATATATCTCTGACCTTCCTACTTGGATAAATATTATCTAAGAAGAACACTAATTTTCTTTGGGACAAATTGGTTAGGGTCGAATTCTCTGAGGTTTCTTAATTTCTTCTATTTGTGGGGGTTAAGAGTTTTGGATGTATTATACCTCTTCAAAGCAGATGCCGAATCAAAATTTGACATGAAAGATATCTATTGGTGGAGGACACTGTCCATAGATCTAGATCTTTATTATTCCCATGTATCTTGATGGATATGCCAAAAATGTAAGCCTCTTCTTGTTCTTTTTAAATCTAACCTTAAGGGGTATACATGCAGTTCTGCTACATGGCTATATTGCATAGCCATGGGCCAAGGTTGAGCACAGCTGCCTGAGACATACTTTAAAGTTGCCTCAAGGAGTGCTTCAGAAAACAAAGGAGAACCTCCAGTTTTTAAAGAAAAAGGAACAAATCAGGAAAGGGGAGATTATGAAGTTATAAATTGGACATACATTGTGGAACTATAGGGTAATGGTTACTCTGTTCAGTGTATGGTATTTTATGGCTACTTGGTGTCAGTCTAGAGCCCATGCAGAGAGTGGCTTCAAGAGTTGATTATTTAGCTCAAGGGAAGGAGTAAGACATGACTGTTATTGCACTTCAATGCGTTTCTTGGCCTGAAAATTAAAGGGGCTATGACTCCTCACATAAAAATATATTCTCTTTCTTACCTGGAAAACTAAGAATAATAGTATATTGAAGTAATAAAATAATTCTATAATTACATTAATAAAGCCATTGTGATCTATAATTAGGTAATTATCACCTATGAAATGCAAAGGAAAATATATCCAAACGTGATTAATAAATTATTACCTAAATCATTTGGAAAAGGAGCTAAGAAAAATTCTACAGTGATGCTATGAAAACATACACATTTAAAATACTCCTGCTGAGTGAAGGGGTTAAAAAAAAAGATGGTAGCTTGGAAAAAAAAATAGAAAGATGTCTTTTGGCTTTTTTTTTGATAGTATGAACCATAATGTAGTAAAGGAGAGAAAAAAATCTTCCCTAAGCAAAACCCCAAAGCCAGAAGCCTTAAAGGAAAAGATCAGTAGATTTAACTAGATTGAATAAAATCTCATGGACAAAATGTAATCACAAAAAGAGTTTTAGAAAGAAGCTTTAATTTTTCTTTTTTTCTTTGTATTTAAGAAGCATGAGACCTACAGGACCTAAATTTTCTAATATATAGAAAACTTAAGCAAAGCAATAAAAATCAAAAATATAGGGAAAAGTTATAAAAAGACATCAGACAAAAAAATTAAAACAAATGGCTCATATACTTGGTAAAACTTGCCCAGACTGACTGACAAATATATGCACATCAGAACTAGGAGACATTTATTTCTCCTCTCGTAATGTTAAGGAAGGATGGACCTAGATTAAAAAGTTGAAATAATCTGTTTTTTTGAGACTTCCTTGCATTTCTAGGGGTAAAATGAGGCAGCTCCTGTAAAGTGTTGTTCTTTCCAAGGGCAGGATGGTCGTTAATTGGGTTCTACTCCCAGGATATTTACTTAACCAATTAGGAGAATCACCTTAAAACAGGGAAAAACCATGGGCACAGCCGTTCATGGTTCTTGCCCTGTCTGGACAAGATTGTGTACATGATCATCTCTGCAGCTAAAAGAATCCAATGAAATTCATGCCGTTATTGTTTTCCAAACTTTTTCTGTCCTTTTCTTTGCAACCCTAGTTGGATGTCTTAACTTCTGTAACTATTCATCTTTTGTCTTTAGATTGTGAATAATTGGTCTACTTTGAAGCTCAGAAGAGTCATTGTGAATAATATGGACAGAGTAAAAGAGTTATGACATTAGCTGTTAGTGACATTAGCTCGAAGCCCACAATAGTCATAGAAAGGGGGAGACTTCACAACACCATCTCCCTGGTATCCACTGGACTTTGATGGGTGGCATCCACTAGCGGAATTCAGAAAAATGAAGGTGTGAAATCGGTTTTTATAAAGAAGAGAACCATGCTATGGAGAAGGATTACTGTATCGCCTCTTCAGAAGCCTTGTATGATGCCATCCTGGGATACAGCTGAGTAAGCCTGCATTCTTAACATCGTATAGGACATTCTAGCATAGAAGCCTATGGAATGAGGCCACCTGTTTTCAAATCCAGCCCCCACCCTTGTGTGACCATGGGCTAATTGCTTAAGCTCCCCACAGTTCCAATTTCTCCATATAGTTGGCATACAAGGGTTTGTTTTGAGCATTGATGTAAGTTATATCCAGTAATATTTGCAAACATCTTAGAATGTGGCTGGTGTAGGTAAGTGCTCTTGATCTCACATTCCCAAAAGCACATTTCTCAGACCATGAGTCATTCCTGCCTCTGACCATCCTGCCAAAATGCATGCCTTCTCAGGTCCCCTTATTCTGAAGAAAATAAAACAACAACTTGTTGTTATTGAAGGACTAGAGTGTGGGAGGATGATCTGTATAGACTTCTTGATATATCCTCCTACACATAATCCATGGATCTGACCTCTTAGATACTTAAAAAAGGTAGACAGTTTACATCAAAATTATTTGTAAGCCTAGAAATATTTTCAGAGGCTTACCAAAATACAAGCTTTAATTTCATTTCAATTGAGATTTGAGTTCATTTGTTTATCTGAATCAATATAATTTAAAAAACATCTTCTAATATCTTGCCTTGGTCTAAGATGGTTAAGAGTTTGCCACTGTTTTGACATGTACAGTTGGGATCTTCCTTTCCATAGTAGTCCAAGGAAGGGAAGAGAGACAAATACCACTTCCACTCCAAGCCTAGGCATCAAAGCCAGGGTGAATCAGCCTATGGGAAGTCTGCTAGTATTTGAAGGGACAAAGACATTCTTTCCCCCCGTATAAACACTTCTAACCATGAACTGCTAATGCGAAGACTTTTTTTTTTTTTTTTTTCTGAGACGGAGTCTCGCTCTGTTGCC
Organism: Homo sapiens; assembly: GCF_000001405.40. Lineage (NCBI taxonomy): Eukaryota > Metazoa > Chordata > Mammalia > Primates > Hominidae > Homo > Homo sapiens. The sequence goes on from NC_000001.11 coordinate 247,747,404, forward strand.
CAGGCTGGAGTGCAATGGCGTGACCTCAGCTCACTGCAAGCTCTGCCTCCCAGGTTCATGCGATTCTCCTGCCTCAGCCTCCCGAGTAGCTGGAACTACAGGCGCTCGCCACCACGCCCGGCTAATTTTTTTGTATTTTTGGTAGAGAGGGGGTTTCGCCGTGTTAGCCAGGATGGTCTCGATCTCCTGACCTCATGATCCGCCCGCCTCGGCCTCCCAAAGTGCTGGGATTACAGGCGTGAGGCACCGCGCCCGGGCCTGTTTTCCTATTTTGAAAATGAGTTTGGTCCCATTAGATTTGGTCTCAGTATTTACGTAAGTGCAGCAAGAATGATGATTCACCATGTAGGACTTTTTGAATTTTCTTTGCTGGAATTTTTTGTAAGGAATCTCACATTAGACTTTTAAGTCTCGAGACTAGAAAGCCAAACCATGGCTCACCACAAGATTTCATTTGTAGTACTTACAGAATTGAATGACTGCCTCTCTTCTTGAGGTCTCCAAAATATCCTATGGTTCCTGAGAGTACCGGAAAGTGACCTTCTATACTCACTGTAAGGCTAAGCATGCTATAAGCCAGGTACCAGGCTAATTTTTTCAAGAGGATTTTGTAAGCCTTGACCTCATAAAGTCAGCATAGTTCCTTAAAACTGTCTGATCATATCTGATTCTATGAATGTCATTTTCAAATATGACATTCCATTCAAAACCTGAGTAATATAACTGATATTTCTAATTACATCATGTTAGGAGGAAAGATTCTTATTGAACGTATGCAAGTAGTTATGTCACAATGGGAATTAGAATACTCAATAAGCATTTCTAAATTCTGGAGGGATAAGCAGGGATAAATATATAAAAGTTTTATATCTGTTTACAAAAGTATCATCTACAAAATTATTTATAATATAATGGCTTTAAAAGAGGTTTCTTACATCCATAATATAAAACATTAAAGAGCTAATGATGTTCCAAAATAGCACCATAAAAAACAACCACACTTCATTAGTTCATCTGCCGTATGTAATTGATTCTTGTTCTGCTTTAACTTCGGCTACCAGTTTGAAGAACCCATCAGCTTCTCCATTAAATTTCCGGAACTGTAGACTTAGACCAGGTGTACAGTCTCAAAGTTATTTAAGCAATGGCATCAGATGCTTGTACCCCGGATTACCTGTTATTGTTCTTTCCATGGGTCACAGAGATAGTCACATTTTGTTAAAGATGAAGCACTCTGGCTTGTAGCGGACTGCAAGAGCTTTCAGAAAAGCATCAGAGTAAAACAGACTATCTGTGGATGACAAAAGACTTAAAATGATTGTGATTTAAGAGCTAGTGAGAGGTCATTTAATGAGAAAATTCGGTTATTCCATGGCATAAAACATTTTAAATAGTAACTGGAATTATGACTGATCACATTATACCAGGACATATTATGGGGCAGCCAAAAATGACAAAATTCTATATACTTCATAAAATTTATGAAAAATTTATATGAAGAATATTTTCCTATTTACCTATACAAATACAGTCTAGGGAAGGTCACATTTTTTTCTTATGTGACAATACTTTTTATGCACTTGAGCATATCAAACAGACCTAATTTTTTTTAATCTCTATTTTTATGAAGTCAAAGAAGAAATCCTTTGAGATTTTCCAGAGCCCTATGGGAAATTTCAAAGTCAGTTCAAGTTTAAGATTACATTTATGATTTAATTTTCGGAAGGCAAAATATCAAAAAATTTGAATACTTAATTAAATGGAATCACAGATCAATGTGAAACAATACTTAGTTATCCATTTAGCCAAAGTGACAATAAAATATTTCAAAAGTGAATATGGAGTGGAGTGATGTTAGCAAGGTGGCCCTCATCTCCTCACATAGGCATCAATTTGAACAACTACCTACACATAAAATTACCTTCACGACAAGTAAAAATTATGTCACGTGGGTTTAGCACAGAAATAATAAAAGACTTACTGAATAGGATAGGAAGGACAGCTTGACATTCCTTACATCACCCCTACATCAAGCCCAGGCAGCACAGTGTGGAGGGAGATACCCTCTGTATGAAGGAAGGAAAGTGAAGTGAACATCCAACTTTGCAATCAGTACCAGCACCAGGCCCTTGAATAAACTCTAGTGCCAGGTCAGCCCCCTTGGCTTCATGCTTCAGACTATATCTGTGGACTAAGCCTTGAAGCCCGTCCAATTGGTACGTCAACTCCCACAGCTCAGACCAGCCCCTGTAGACTCAGCCTCCAGACCTGCCCTACCACCAGACCAGCTTCCATGGCACTAGACTACAGGCCAACTCCACAGACTAGGCTTCGGCCATCTTTAGCACTGGGCTAGCACCTGCAGATCCCAGCTCCAGGCTTGGCTCTGTGGATATAGGCTCCAGACCTACGCAGTTCCAGGACAACCATTGTAGCCCCAGGTACCAGGCTGGCCTCTGTGGCAATAGGGTCTAGGCCAACCACACAGACAAAGCCACTAGGCCAGCATCTGAGACCTTGTTTCCAGGCTGACTCTCATGGACTATGGTCTAGGCTAGCCCCTCATGGCCACAAGCAACAGGCCAGCACACATGGACCCAGATCCTAGACCTCTGTGGACTAAGGCCCCAGGCTTGCCCCAGTGCCATGCTTAACCCAGACCCTGGGGTGGTCCCCATGGCCCTAGGTTCAGAGGACTCAAGACCAGGCCCACCCCTGCAGACCTAGGCTATGAGCCTATAAGCCTATCCCTGTAGACGCAGCCTCCAGGCCTGTCCCAGTACCAGGATGACTCCTGTGTACTCAGGCTCTAGGCCTATATGAACCCAGGCACCAGGCCCATCCTAGCACCAGGCTAGCCCTCACAGACTCAGTCTCAAAGCTCATCCCAGCACAAGGTAAGTTCATGTGGACCCAGGATTCAGGTTGGTTCTTATGGACACAGGTACCAGGACCACCACTGAGGACCCAAGCACTAGGTCTTCCCTAATGTATGTAGTCAGAAAGTTCACCCAAGTGGACCTCTGTGCCAGGTCAGTTCCCATGGACCCAGAAACCAGACGCCCAAGTGGACATTAGCCTGAGGTTTTCCCCAGTGGATCTAGGTCCAGGCCAGCTCCTGTAGAACCAATAGCCAGGCCCACTCACCTGCTGACCAAAGCACCAAGCCACCCTGCTCAAGGACTCCAACAGCAAGTCTGCCTATGGATCCAGTCATATAGTTCTCCCAGAATCTCTGGGCAAGCTGATTTGTGAAGGGCTCTTCCTACATATGCCGGTCTGTAAAGATAGAAAAGGTGAAAAACTACTCAAATATGCAGGCATAAAAACGTGGCCACAGAGGTCGTAAAGAATCGGGGAAACATGAGAGCACCAAAGGAAAAAAAGGACCGGTAACCAACCCTAAAGAAATAGGATATACAAACTTTCTAACTAATAATTAAAAGTAATCTTTTTAAAGTAGCTCAGTGAGTGACAGAAAAATACAAATAAACAACTAAACAATATCAGGAAAACAATAAAAGATGAGAAATTTGACAACGAGATGGAAATCATAAAAAAAATGTTGGAGATAAAGAACATAATGTCTGAACTGAAAAATTCCATCAAGAACTTCAGCATCAAACTCAATCAAGCAGAAGAAAGAATCAATGAGTTCAAAGACAGTTCACTTGAGATTACCCAATCATTGGAATGAAAAGCAAAAAGAATAAACCATGGAAATTCTGGGACACTATCAAGAAAACTAATGCACACATTATGGAAACTGCAGAAGAGTTAGAAAAACGGAAATAATGTTTAAAGAAATAATGACAGAAAATAATATTTAAAGAAATAATGACAGAAAACTTACGAGATCTAGAGAGGACAATGAACATACAGATCCATGAAGCATAAAGAACCCCTAATAGATGAATAAAAAGTCATCTGTACACTGAACTATAAAACACTGAAGGAAATTGAGAAGAAACAAATAAATGGAAAGATATCTCATGTTCATGGGTTTTAAAAATTAATACTGTTAAAATGTGCATAGCGCCGAAAGCATTTATGTATTCAGTGCATTTCTTACCATAATTCCAATGTTGTTTTTCATAGAAATAGGAAAAAATCCAAAAACTTGTATGGAACCACAAAAGACTGCAAATAGCCAAAGCAATCTTGAGCAAATAAATAAATAATAAAAGAAGAAAACAAACAACAAAAAAATGAAAACAAACCTGCCAAAGCTGCAGGTATCATGCTACCTGATCTAAAAATATAATACAGATATATTTGACCATTTTAAAATAAGATTGTTTGTTATTTTGCTATTTGAGGTGATTGCATTCCTTGTATACTCTGGATATTAATTATCTTTCAGATAAATGGTTTGTAAATATTTTCTCTTTTTCTGTAGGCTGTCTTTTCACTCTTTTGTTTCCTTTGTTTTGCACAAGCTTTTTTAGTTTGATGTGATCCCATTTGTTTATTTTTGCTTTTGTTGCCTGTGCTTTTGAGATCTTATTGATAAAGTGATTTCACAGACCAACTCTTGAAGTATTTTGCCTATTTTGTCTTTTAGAAGTTTTATTGTTTCTGGTCTTATATTTAAGTCTTTAATCCATTTTGAATTTTGTAAAGGGAAAGAGGTGGGGATCTAGTTTCATTCACCTGCATATGGATATTCAGTTTTCCCAGCACCATTTACTGAAGAGACTGGCCTTTCCCCAGTAAGTGCTCTTGGTGCCTTTGTCAAAAACCAGTTGACTGTAGATACATGAATGAATTTATGGGTTTTTGTATTCTGTTTTATTTGTCTATGTTTCTATTTTTATGCCAGTACCATGCTGTTTGGTAACTATAGTATTATATTGTTTTTAACTTTTAGGTTCAGGAGTACATGTGTAGATTTGTTATATAGGTAAATTGCGTGTCGTGGGGGTTTGGTGTACAGATTATTTTGCTACTCAGGTAATAGGCATAGTACTCAATTTGTGAAGGGCTTTTCCTACACAAATTTCCTACACCTAGTTTTTTGATTCTCATGTTCCTTCCCCTACCCTCAGGTAGGCCCTTGTATCTGCTGTTCTGTATTTTGAAGTTTGGTAGTGTGATGCCTCCAGCTTTATTTTTGCCCAGGATTGCATGAGCTATTTGGGGCCTTTTGTGATTCTATGCAAATTTTAAGATTTTTCTTTCTATTTCTGTGAAGAATGTCATTGGTATTTTGCTAGAGATTGCATTGAATCTGTAGATTACCTTGGGTAGTATGGCAATCTTAAATTAACATGGAATGAATTTAAATAATCTTTCCATTTGTGTGTGTCCTCTTCAATTTCTTTTATCAGAATTTACTAGGGTTCCTTGTAGAGATCCTTCACCTCCTTGGATAAATTTATTCCTATTTCCTATATTTCCTGTATTTTAATAAATATATATTTATATATTTATTTTAATAATAAAATAAAATAAAATCTTTTTAAATTAATGCCATAATTTTATTAAAAATAATTTATAAAAATAACAAATTCGTGACATGAGAAGCATTGTTGTACAACTTTGCAAATTTCTTTAATGTCTGGCTTGACAGAATGCAGTGAATCTCAGATATAATTCATTTATTCTGTTGTAATTGTTTTAGTTGAAATATGTAATACAAATGCACAATTAGAAAAGGTTAAAGGAGCACCTTCACTGCACATTAGAATAGTTCATACTATACAAATTGATCTCTTACAAAACAGTTGCAGTTTGCAATCTGAAACCATTAGCATTCTTTTTTTTAAATTTTATTATTATTATACTTTAAGTTTTAGGGTACATGTGCACAATGTGCAGGTTTGTTACATATATATACATGTGCTATGTTGGTGTACTGCACCCATTAACTCGTCATTTAACAGGTATATCACCTAATGCTATCCCTCCCCCTCCCCCCACCCCACAACAGTCCCTGGTGTGTGATGTTCCCCTTCCTGTGTCCAAGTGTTCTCATTGTTCAGTTCCCACCTATGACTGAGAACATGCGGTGTTTGGTTTTTTGTCCTTGCGATACTTTGCTGAGAATGATGGTTTCCAGCTTCATCCATGTCCCTACAAAGGACATGAACTCATCATTTTTTATGGCTGCATAGTATTCCATGGTGTATATGTGCCACATTTTCTTAATCCAGCCTATAGTTGTTGGACATTTGGGTTGGTTCCAAGTCTTTGCTATTGTGAATAATGCTGCAATAAACATACGTGTGCATGTGTCTTTATAGCAACATGATTTATAATCCTTTGGGTATATACCCAGTAATGGGATGGCTGGGTCAAATGGTATTTCTAGTTCTAGATCCCTGAGGAATCGCCACACTGACTTCCACAATGGTTGAACTAGTTTACAGTGCCACCAACAGTGTAAAAGTGTTCCTATTTCTCCACATCCTCTCCAGCACCTGTTGTCTCCTGACTTTTTAATGATTGCCATTCTAACTGGTGTGAGTTGGTATCTCATTGTGGTTTTGATTTGCATTTCTCTGATGGCCAGTGATGATGAGCATTTTTTCATATGTTTTTTTGGCTGCATAAATGTCTTCTTTTGAGAAGTGTCTGTTCATATCCTTTGCCCACTTTTTGATGGGGTTGTTTGTTTTTTTCTTGTAAATTTGTTTGAGTTCATTGTAGATTCTGACAAAAACAAGCAACGGGGAAAGGATTCCCTATTTAATAAATTGTGCTGGGAAAACTGGCTAGCCATATGTAGAAAGCTGAAACTGGATCCCTTCCTTACACCTTATACAAAAATTAATTCAAGATGGATTAAAGACTTAAATGTTAGACCTAAAACCATAAAAACCCTAGAAGAAAAACCTAGGCAATACCATTCAGAACATAGGCATGGGCAAGGACTTCATGTCTAAAACACCAAAAGCAATGGCAACAAAAGCCAAAATTGACAAATGGGATCTAATTAAACTAAAGAGCTTCTGCACAGCAAAAGAAACTACCATCAGAGTGAATAGGCAACCTACAGAATGGGAGAAAATTTTTGCAACCTACTCATCTGACAAAGGGCTAATATCCAGAATATACCGTTAGCATTCTTAATGAATCACTCACTATTGCATGATTTTGTAACATCATGTATTGGTCATCTAGCAAATACTGGCTCACAGAATGATGCAGACCTTCTTAATATACTTCATTATACAATGACAAAGTCAATTATGTGTATTAACAACACTTCTAATCTCATCAGAAAGATCTATAATTATTGAGAAAACATCAAGCTCATGTGAATAACACAAGTTTCCAAAATTCAAATTTTGATTTGAAACTCAAATTTTATTATGAGCAACTCATATATACATATCTATATTTAATAATATATAGTTGCAAATACCTGGAAGGATAATATTTAATGTTCTCAACATAAACAAGTAATAAGTGTTTGAGATGATGGATATGTCAATTACCTTGATCTGATACCTGTACATTATATTTATCAAAACATCCCTGTGTACTCCATAAGTGTGTATGATTATTTTATGCCAATTAAATTTTAAAATGCAATAAAAAGATACAGTAATCAAAAATGGCATGGTACTGGCATAAAAATAGACACATAGAAATAAATTGATACATTCATGGTCAATTGATCTTTGACAAAGGTGGTAGGGACACACAATATGGAATGGACCATCTCTTCAATAAGTGGTTTTAGAACAACTGAATATCCATATGGAGATGAATGGAATTGGACCCTTATCTGACACCATATACAAAAATCAACACAAAATATATTAAACACATAAACAGAAGACCAGAAACTATAAAACTAATAGAAGAAAGCACAGGGGGAAAGCTCTATGACATTGGTATGCATGATAATCTTTTAGATATGACTCCCACAATTGACAAAACTAAAATTAACAAGCGCTAGTAAATTAAACTAAAAGTCTTTTACAGCAAAGGTAACAACCAACAGAATGAAGAGATGACCTACAAAATGGGAGAAAATATTTGCAAATCATACATCTGATAAGGAGTTAATATTCAAAGTATATAAGGAGTTCAAATAACTCAGTAGCAAAAAACTGCCAAATAACACAATTTTTAAAAAGAGCAAAGTACTTGAATAGACATTTCTCACAAGAAGACATTCAAATTGCCAACAGATATGAAAAAATGCTCAAAATCGTTATTCATAAGGGAAATGCCAATTAAAACCACCGTGAGATGCACCTCACACTTGTCTGAGTGGCTATGAAAAAAGTCAAAAGATAAAAAAGTTTGATGAGGGTATGGAGGAAAAAGAATCTTTCTTCACTATCGGTGGGAATGTAGATTAGTATAGCCCTTATGGAAAACAGTATGACGTTTACTCAAAAAATTAAAAATAGAACTACTGTACGATCCAGCAATCACTATTGGGTATACATCCAAGAGAAATGAAATCAGTATGTCAATATAATATTGGATGTCATGGGGTAGTAGGCTGCCCAACCTGAAACTGGCCTGGGGGATATTTGAAAGCCTAACATGGATGGTCTCTAAACCCTAGCAGTGTCCTGCACCGAAACTTCTAAGCTTAAACAGTTTTCTACACCTACACTCTAGTGAAGGATTGAATTCACTTTTGTGACATAATCTTTTAACTACAGACACGTCTTACCCATTTTTATTGGGTAAAACTGAAGTTACAATTTACTTCACCAATGCTTTTATTTATTTATTTATATTCTGAGAATCTACATTTTTAAACTGTTATTTTAGATTCAGGGGTACATGTGCAGATTTGCACAGGTAAATTGCATGTCACAGGAGTTTGGTATACATATTATTTCATCACCTATGTAATAAACATAGCTCCTAATAGGTATTTTTTAAACCCTATTTGGTATTATAAATTAGGTATACATGTTAGAAGAGCTAAAATATCTATATCAACATTGTTGCTTTTTTGAAGAAACTTTTTTTCCCTGAATGGATTTAAATTTTCTTATGTATGTATGTATTTGGTCTTCCTTGAGAAAGGGTGCACGTGTGTGTTTATAAGGTTTTAAATATTATACATGTGTTCGTTCAAGAAATTACAGAGGTCTGTGAGCAGACATTTTAATTCTAGAAAAGGACAAGCAGAAATGATCTTAGTTCATTCTCAGATGTAAAATTGTAGAAAGGAACCGGAATAGGTTGAATAAACAATTAGATTGGATTGGATGGTTAATATCTTAAATGGAGTCTATTTAATTGAATGACCTCAAATATAATTATTTTTGCATACAGTATGTTAATTTTTTGTTAGGAAAGCAAGATAAAATAAAACCCAAGGGATTGGGCATGAGGCTTTGTTTTGAAAGAAGTTAATGTATTCCCCATATGAAAAATGCAGCTGAGAACCTGATCTCTTCTCTAAAGATATTGTATACCCAAAGCACTCCTAGTTGTTGGGGGAGATCAGTTAGCCTCTGCCCTATAAAGATGGCTGGGAGATTCTGAGTTCCTCCATGCCTGAGATCAGTTAGGGACACACATGACAAGGACATGTGTCAATAGAATAAAATCATTGACTGTATTTGAAGTGAGAGGGGATTGGAGGAAAGCATACATACTTTAAAACTTGAATAAATTATTTTAGTGATTTTTAAGAAGACTCACTATTTAAAATGTGTTCTACCACATTGTCGAATTAACATTAGAATTTATGCCCCTTTAATTCTAAATCTGAACTCACAGACAAGAAGTTTAGGAAAATTTATCTTAATATGTAGCATTTGGGAACTATATCACAGAGATTCTCATCACTAAGGTATATTTGTACTGGAGTCAGAAACTATTTATCAGCTATGGGTTGTATGCAGACTATTTAACTTCCCTAAGATTCACTTTCTGTATAAAGAATGCTATATGGTTTTTATATATTTACTCAGAGGATTTAATGTGATAATTCATATAAAGTGCTTAACACGATTTCCAGCATAAGGGAGACATTTAATAGCAGTTGGTTTCTCTTCTCACTGTTATTGTGAGCATCTAGTCACACTTTCTTATCACCACATTAGTATTATTTAATTCAGTCACTGAGGTCATTATTGCTGCTGAAAGACTGTGCACTTGAGAAGCATTTTCTGAAGTCCCCTCTTCATATCCCTGTTCCTTAGGGTATAGATGAAAGGATTCAGCATCGGAGCCACCATTGAATACATGATGGTTGACAGAGTGTCGCTCTCAGGCATATGGGGGGATGAAGGGCTGAAATAGACGGCGATGGCTGTGCCGTAAAACAACACCACCACTGACAGGTGGCAGCTGCAGGTGGAAACAGCTCTCTGCTTGCCCTGAGTAGAGGTGATCTTCAGAACAGTGGAGAAGATAAGTCCATAAGATACGAGGATACAGACAAGGGGCGTGAGAGCCAATAGACCTCCTACTGCAAAAATGATCATTACATTGAAGGAGACGTCAGAGCAAGAGAGCTGCAGGAGAGGATTGAGATCACAGAAGAAATGATGGATGATATTGGAGGCACAGAAGGACAGCTGTGCTATTAGGACAGTATGCAGGAGGGCGTGGAGGTAAGTAACAAGCCACAGTCCAGCCACTAGCTGGACACAAAGGCACAGGTTCATTCTGGCGGTGTAATGTAAGGGGTGGCAAATCGCCACATATCTATCATACGCCATCACACACAGAAGGAGGCTGTCCATATTCACAAAAGAAACGAAGAAGAAGAGCTGGGTGAGGCAGCCTGCAAAAGAGATAGTCTTGGTGCCAGTCAAGATATTCACTACCATTTGGGGGACTGTAGTCGACGTAAAGCAGATGTCAACAAAGGCCAAGTTACTAAGGAAGAAGTACATAGGGGAATGGAGGTGAGAGTCAAAGCCAATCGTCGCAATGATGAGCATGTTCCCCAAGGTGGTGGCTAAATACATACAGAGAAAGAGCACAGACAGGAGGTGCTGCTGCTCTGCTGAGCTAGGAAGTCCCAGAAGGACGAATTCCCTGACAACTGTTAGATTTCTTTTTTCCATATTCCCAACAAATCTAGAAAAATAAGTTATTAAATTGTAAAAGCCAGCAGTGTTAAGTCTCTTATTCATGAGAGAGAGACAGTGTGTGTGTGTGTGTGTGTGTGTGTGTGTGCATGCGTGCGCAGGTAAGTAGCATCCAAACTTGCTTGCTTGAATGCTTTCCAATGACATCTTGTGTTCATGATATTCTGTCTTCATAGTCACATAGACATGCTGGACATGTCAGTATCAACTTCTTTCAAGACTGACTTCTTCCCCCAAAAGAAAATGCAAATTATGTGAATAATAACCATTTTAATTGGGTTATTTTGCCTTGCCTACAGTAACCACAAAATTCATATCGACTTTATATATAAGGTTATTTGTTATTTTTTTAGTAGTCAAGCTATTTATGCTTACCCAGTAGAAATATTTACCTCTAATAAATAATTTTCCTCCCAATCTGATGCTTATACTTATGATGGAAGATATCCTCATGTTAGCTTTCTTTTCTTTTAACGTATTTGGTCACTGATAACTGCAAGCTCACCTCTGTTCCTTGGGTTGACCATTGCTGTTTTGGTCTCTGCTCATCATTTGGTGGAGCCTCTGACTTGTGTAGTAAGTCATTGAGAGCCCAGTGTTTGTGGCCTGTGCTTTCAGGACCCTTCCTTGTAGCATCTTGGTCATACTACCTTCTCTAGAAGGTGCCAGTATTCTCCCATACCTATCAACATTTTTCATAGAGTGTCTTACTTCTTGACGTCCCTCACTGTACTCTCCAACTTCTCACTTCTGTATCAATCCAATTTATACCTTCTTTTTAATTATAAAAATTATCAAATTATACAAAGTGTTGTATAACAATAAGCAAGCAAACATACATCATTCATGTAATCCGTACTTTCCTTCAGCAAACATTTATTGAGCAATTTCTATGATCCAGGTGCTGTGCACAATTTAGGACCAAAGTTTTTTTCTGACTGAAGCAAAATTTGTGATACCTTCCCAAACGTTCTCCTTGACATCTGAGGCCTTTCTAGTCTTTTCAAACCTATATTATTTCAGTTATGTTATTTAAGCCATATGGCTATCAAGTAAAGGACATGTTGTAGAAGTGGGAAGAGATTTGGAATTTTTAGTCCAAGTATCATTATTTTCTCACAATATTCCAAGAGTTATCTAGGACTTCTATTTTATTGATTTGTATGACAAGGATCCTAATGAAAATAACATAATGTAGCACTAGATAATATACATGTTCTGGTTTTATGCTAAGACAGCTGATTAACCCTAGAGAACACAATGCAGTGTATTTGTTTCTATTACAATGTTTTGAATTCCAACTTAATCAGAAACCTCACTAACACTAATTATTACATTCATCTTCCTCTGATTCCTGTCAACTTTAATTAAGTTCCATGCACCCCCTTTTACCCAACTTGAAGCATGTCAGGATAAAATCTGTACGGAAAAGAAACTATGCATGTATTTGCATGCCTTTGAGGGAGAAGCACTCTTTCAAAGACAGTCTCCTTCCCCTGTAGGCACTATCAGTTACATCATTTTTATTAATCTCATACTCACTATACAATATTCCTTTCATGACAAGCATAACAATTCCCCTTTTTCTTGGTCTACTTCATTGTAGTTAGTGAAATTTTAAGGAAAGAATTGCGATTTATTATATTGAATCCTTAGGATATAACACATATATGCACGTAGTTTGCACAGAGTTGGTGCAAAAGAGTGCTTATGGAAACAACAAATGAATGAAAAATTCTGGAGAAATCATTTGATTATATAATGAATATATGAGTTTTGCAAGATATCTTTTAATTCTATATTCTCATTTGCAGCACATCATCTTAATTTCAAAATTTTCTCAACTAGGATTTGGAAAAAGTTAGTCCACCATTGAAATGCTTAACAGCTTCGTCAAAAAACTTCCATGCATTACAACTCAAAGGATTATACATTAGGTATGTCTTCACTAAAACAAAGAAAAAAATGTATGAATACATACCCTTTTCTGAGACCTTTGCCACCTATGACTTTTCTCTTTCCTGAATATCCAATCACAAAAGCATAGATGGACCTATGCATTGATTCAGATTTCTAGTCAAGAGTGAAAAAGAGAAGAATGAGATATAGACAAGTGTGTTTCTTTCGACAGAGAATAACAGTATCTCACGGGGTGAGTATTTGGTTAGATTCATTTATTTTGATAATACAAAGGGGGGCAGGCCTTTAACATGGCACAGTTTTGTCCCTTGAGATCAGCACCCAAGAGGCTTCATGAAGTTCTAAATTTAGCTTCTAATGACTTTAGTTTATAAATTGGTTTTTCTCTTATTTTGAAGAGAAGGCAAACACAGGGGGAAATATTGTATGCGGGAAGAAAGCATGAAAGCTCATGAAGGTTCCAAGATACATTCTTGTTTTCTTTACAGGGTGCTTGGGTGAATGAATGATACAAAAAGATGGGAAACTGAAGCCACAATTTTACAAACCTATCTATTCCATCTCCATAAAACTTGCAGCTTATCCTGTCTCCCTAGTGCTAAAGAGAGATACAGTGATATAAACAACCACTTTTGGAGTAAGACACATTTTGGTTCAAATCTTCATTTGTAAATTAATTAATAGTTGCTTGACCTTGCACAAGGTATTATATTTTGTATGTTTTAGTTTTTCATCTATAAAAATACAAATACTACTTATCTCATTTAGTTGCTATAAAAACTATAATATTTATATAAAAACCTTGAATTGTGCATAGACCCAGAGGTTATCCTGAAGCTTCTGATCATCTAATGAATTAATGGCTGGGATAATCAAATATGTGCCAATAAAAATGAAAACCAAAAGAGAGTGTGTTTGGAAATGAGATTTTTCACTGTACATTAGATAAAGATTATGTGTGCGGGTGGTTGCAGATATATACATAGATAAATAGTTTTAACTCATACCATGAGCTACACCGTTACTCCACAGTATATAACTTAGTCTGAAGACTACAGCTAAACCAACCAGTATTCAAAACATTTGAAACACAGGCCCATTTATCTGAATCCAAAGATGCATTTATTCTTCTTTATTGAAATCAATATTTTATTAAACACATAGTTTTTGGTTTAATGTATTTAGGTAAATATAAGAACAGACTACAATGACAAACATTCAAATAACCTTAATGTATACTATACGTGTGTATATATATATGTATACTATACATGTGTGTGTATATATATGTATACAGACACACACACATATATATAGTGAAAGGTATACGTTGTATATTATATACATAAACAATTTGTGTATGTCTGTATAAGTGTACATATATATTTACAAACACATTTATACATTTTTTTCTAATATGGGGAAGACCTCTATATTATCAATTGAAAGGAGATTTATTTACATTTATGTTTAGTGATAATGTATGTCTCAGAGTTCATACAATGTGGATAACTTAATAGCTTTTGTAAATTCTTTTAGAACATAAGTATTAAGCATTAGACTCTTGCAGAAGATCCATGAGCTACTGAAAACACTTTGGAATTAGAAACCTGGAAAGGAGCAAAACAGGGATGCTCTGTTAATAATTACCATGTGTGGTGCACTATGAAGTGGCTTTTCATGCATCCTCTCAGGTAATACCTAAAACAGCTTTGAGACAGTTAATTTTCCTTTTAGAGAGAAAGAAACAACACTTAGAGAAGTTATGAAGCTCCTGGGTGTGGTGGCTCACGCCTGTAATCCCAGCACTTTGGGAGGCCGAGGTGGGCAAATTACAAGGTCAGGAGATCGAGACCGTCCCGGCCGACACGGTGAAACATAGACCTACGTTTGCGTGCTCTATTTGTGCATGTTAAACCTTATAAAAATACCCAGGTAATAGTTGCTTACATTCAAGAAGACAAAATATATTTGTGTCACTGCCAAACAAAATTTGATTTACTTTAACTCGTGCCTATGAAGAGATGGGGTGAATGGTAAGCTTCATGTTAATAATTTGACATCCAAGCAAAACTCCACTTTTGACTAATTTCTATCTAATAGATGTGTGTGTGTGTGTGTGTGTGTGTGTGTAATGGCAAAGGTCAGAGGGGGACCGAAGGAGACAATGTGTGGTGGGTCTGGTGATAGAATCACAATTAATAACTGTTTATGGATGGGGAATGCCTGGGGTAGCCATGAGCTGTCCACAGGCACTGCAGTAAGGATGTTGGAATAGCACACCTATACTATATTAAATTTATACCATAATAATAGACAAATTCAGTAAAGTTATAGAATACAAAATCAACAAACAAATATCAGTAGTATTTTTATACATAAATAATGACCTGTCCGGGAGCAGTGGCTCACACCTGTAATCCCAGCACTTTGGGAGGCCGAGGTGGGCGGATCACGAGGTCAGGAGTTCAAGACCAGCCTGACCAATATGGTGAAACCCCGTCTCTGCTAAAAATACAAAAATTAGTCAGTCATGGTAGCACACACCTGTAATCCCAGCTACTCACGAGGCTGAGGCAGGAGAATCACTTGAACTCGGGAGGCGGAGGTTGCAGCAAGCTGAGATCGCACCACTGCACTCCAGCCTGGGTGACAGAGCAAGACTCCATCTCAGAATAAATAAATAAATAAATAAATAAATAAATAAATAAATAAAACCTAGCTGTCAACAAAATTAAGAAAACAATCCCATTTATGATAACATTAAAAAACCTTAGCAAAAAATTTAACTAAGGGAGTAAAAGATCTGTACAATGAAAACTAAAAAACATTGATTAAAGAAACTGAAAAAGACACAAATAAATGGAAAGGTATCCATCTTGGATAAATCGCATGGAGCAAAATAAATTTACTAAAACAGGAATTGACTTTGAATTTTTACAAAAGGATCGTCATGTTTCATTGATATAAATGTGGAATTTGGGAAAGTTGAGAGGACCATAGAATCATCTGGGTTATCAGATCACCAAAAGAAGGAAAATGTTGAGCTCTGATGGCTCAGAGTTTCAGGATCTAAGCCTGCTCTGTGAGGAACTGATCAAACCTCAGGATCACAGACAAAATCTGACTTCAATAGGACAATCTTTTCTGCACCAGGTCTTCCTTCATAAGAGAAAAATAGTTTCTGTTTCTCCTCACGTTGCCAGTTCTTCTGAATTTGCAGATGTCTGGAGTTTTAATATGTCTTGAATTTATTAAGTGGGTTAATGCATCTTAGAAATGAAGTTCAGTAGAAATGATGTGAAGATTCCCTTAATGCGTTCAAAGCAGCTCATTCTTCTCTCCAGTCTGTGGGGGATGCAGCTGGCCAAGCTTCGTTCTTGCATGTATTCACAGTCAGAGATCCACACTCTAAATTGGTCTCAGGATCATTCCATGAGAAGACCACCTTTTGCTTCCCCTTCTTTGGAAATGTATTTCTGGATCTCCTCAAATTGTGTTATTTCTTCCAATTAATTAAACTGATTATCTTCTAAACTCTGAATTTTTTCTTGTTGTCAACCTTGAATGTAGATATGAATCACCTCATTGTTAATTCAGCCTTTGAATGAGTCTACCTTTGAAAATGTAGAAACGTAGGAAAGCATTTGGTGTCTTGATAAAATCATCTTAATTATGTTTATGTAAGTGTAATTATTTTCAGTTAAGTAATTATAAAATTACTTAGATGGTGCTTAATATAATTTTTTGACCTTGTGGATTAAATGTTTCAAAATACAACATTTCAGTAATCTACCATGCCTAAAAAATATTTAGTAGAAATTTATCAGCATTTGAATGTCTGCACGAGGTAACTCTTCTCAAATGCTATTGTTTTCCCAAAGATCAGGTCAGTATCTAGAGTACAGTAGGTACTAAATAAATATTAATCAAAGAAGTCATTTCTGAATACGCTTTGGAAATACTTAAACTTATGAATATATCAGGTCTGATTCTGTCCACAAATGAAATATTTTACAGTTCCTGCCCTTTCAAAGTCCAGGTTGTGGACAAATAATTGTAGCATTTTTACGTTTCCAAGTTAAGATTGTATGAAGATCAATTCTACACAATCTCTCATTTTTTGTTTATAAAAAATATTTTATTATATATTATTGTTTTGTTGAGGTGTCAGTTAAATACAATAAAATGTATGGATCTCAAATGTACAGTTTAATTGGTTTTAACAAATGCATTCAGTTAACTTGTGTAACCCACACTCCTATCAAATCACAGGACTTTTCCACCACCCCAGAAAGTTATCTTGGCCCCTTGAAACTCAGGCTTCTCCTTTGAAAGCAGTCACAGATCTGATTTCTACCTCTATGGGTTAGTTTTACTTATTCTAGGAATTCTTATATTTAGAGTAATATAGTATGCTGATTTTTCTGTCTGTTCCCTTTCATTGAGATTTTTAAATTGTGTGTGTGATTCATCATGGGGCCTTGAGATTCAGTAGTTTGTTCCTTTTTTGTTGATGATTGATATCCCTTTTTATGGGTATCTTACAGTTTATCCATTCTCAGAACACTTGACACCAGAGCAGTTTTTAGATTTTGCCTAAATCTAAAATATAGTTGTTGATAAAGATTTTTGAAAATTCTCATGCATAGCTTCCTGTGGACATATATTTTCATTTCTTTTTGGTATATATATACAATTGAAATTGCTGGTCATAGAGTAGAAGTACATTTAACTTTTTAAGAAACAGTCAAATAGTTTTCCAAAGTTGTTGAATTTTACATTTTTACCAGCAACAGAAGAGAAATGTGGAGGTACTCTACATCCTTTGTGACATTTGATGCTGTTGAACTTTTAAAATTTTAGATATTCTAATGGATAGTGGTCAATTATCATGGCTTTAGTTTGGATTTCCCTGATTACAGATGATATTAAGCTTTATTTCATTGCTTATTGGACATTTGTATATTATGTTGTGTTAAGTGTCTTTCAAGTCTGTTTTTTCGTGTTTTAACTTGATTCTTTGTCATTACTATTGTATTGCAGGAGTTCAATATACATTTAGAACACAAATCCATGATTAAATACACGTGTGTTAATACTTTCCCACAGTGGCTTGCCTTTTTGTTTTCTTCAATACGTCTATTGATATGCATATATATTTAATATCCTGTCAATTTTATCATTTTGGTTAAGATTAGTGCTTTCTGTGTCTTTAAAAGAAGTTTTTGCGTACCCCACTGCTTTCTTCTAAAACCTTAGAATTTTACATTTTATGCTCAACTCTATGATTTCTCTCAAATTAAATGTGTACAGTATGAGGTAGTAGTTAATAGTTTTTTTCCAATATGGATATACAGTTTTTCCAACATAATATTTTGAAGAGATTTTCCAATAGCTTTGATGTCTTTCTTGACAATATTTTGATCATAAATGTATCAGCCTCTTTCTGGATGCTCTATGCTGTTTCATTGATCTTTCAAGAAAATGTTTTTAATTAGGCAAGCTTATGTGAAAAGTTGATATTACCTTCTGTTACTCCAGAAGTTCACATATAAGTTACCCACCTCTTAAGCCTGGTTAAGAAAAATTTAAAAAGTATTAAGTACAGTCAAACCCAGTTTGCTTGTTTTCCTTTCTAAAAGGATTAGGTAGAAATTATGTAAGCATACATTTCTTTTCACCATAAATCAATTTTCTGTCTCCTCCTAACAGATTTCCTAAACCCTGTGTATTTTCTGCCTTTAAAACTTCTGTTGCTGTCTATCATTACACACCTCCTTTGCTGTGTTTTTTTAAAATCTTTGTGTCAATTTTATTACTCAATCGCAAACACATGCAGACATGAAGGTATTTATTTACTTTGTTGTTTGTCCACATTTTCCCCCACAACATGCACAACATTTTATACATCATGGATGACATTTTTGCATTCCTTATACTTTTTTTCAATCATAGTGCTAGATTTCTAAATAAGAGAGATCATTTCGTTTTATCAAGTTTCCCAAAATGCATACTAGAATTTAATCCTTATGGAATAGAAACAATTTCAATAAGTCTTCAGGGAATATGAGGGCAAACTGCATAATCCATGAAGTTAGTTTGCATTTTATTCAAATTCTAACTCCATCAGTTTACTCTGTAAATAATGTTTCAATGCTTTCTTTTTTTTTACATGTCATATGATTCTATTAAATATTTGCATAACGTTCTTAAAATGACAATTATAAAAATAAAGTACAGGTTAGTTGTTGCAGGGGTAGGGAATGGAAGACGGAAGAGAAGTGGAAGGTAAGGAGGTGTAGTTAAAAATGGGCTATATGAGGGATCCTTTGGTGATGGAAATGTTCTGTTTTTTGTGTGTGTTTTTTGGTTTATTTGTTTTTTGAGACAGTGTCTTGCTCCATTGCCCAGGCTGGAGTGGAGTGGTCTGATTTCGGCTCACTGCAACCTCTGCCTCCTGGGTTCAAGCGATTCTCCTGCCTCAGCCACCGAGTAGCTGAGACTACATGTGCGTACCACCGCGCCTGGCTAATTTTTGTAATTTTAGTAGAGATGGGGTTTCACTATGTTGGCCAGGCTGGTCTCGAACTCCTGACCTCAAGTGATCTGCCTGCCTTGGCCTCCCAAAGTGCTGGGATTACAGGTGTGAGCCACCGCACCTGACCTGTTATGTATCTTTTTTTTAAAAAAAATTATTTCTATAGGTTTTTGGGGAACAGGTGTTATTTGGTTAAATGAGTAAGCTCTTTAGTAGTAATTTGTGAGATTTTGGTGCACTCATCCCCCGAGCAGTATACACTGAACCCAATTTGTAGTCTTTTATCCCTCAACCCCCTTCCCACCCTTTCCTCCCGAGTCCTCAAAGTCCCTGTATCATTCTTATGCCTTTGTATCCTTATGGCTTAGTTCCCACTTATGGTTAGAATGGTGGCCTCCAGCTCCACCATGTTGTGGCAAAGAACATGATCTCCTTCTTTTCTATGGCTGCACAGTATTCCATGGTGTATATGTACCACATTTTCTTTATCCAGTCTATCACTGATGAGCATTTGGGTTGATTCCATGTCTTTGCTATCATGAATAGTGCTGCAGTGAACATGCACGTGCATGAATTCTTCGTGTTACTAATTTTCCCTGACTTAGAAACCTAAATATTAGTGTTATAATGCCAATTTCCAGCCGGGTGTGGTGGCTCATGCCTGTAATCCCAGCACTTTGGGAGGCTAAGGCAGGCGGATCACCTGAGCTAGGGAGTTTGAGATCAGCCTCAACATGGAGAAACCCTGTCTCTACTAAAAATACAAAACTAGCCAGGCAAGGTGGTGCATGCCTATAATCCTAGCTACTCGGGAGGCTGAGGCAGGAGAATCACTTGAACCTGGGAGGTGGAGGTTGCGGTGAGCCAAGGTTGCGGTGAGCCGAGGTTACAGCGAGCCGAGGTTGCACCGTTGCACCCCAGCCTGGGCAACAAGAGGGAAACTCCATCTCAAAAAAAAAATGCCAGTTTCCAAAGATGGTGCCTCAATAGTTAGTTTGGCACCTTAGAAGAAATAGGTAGCAGAATTTCCCTCTGTCCTATATTAGGCATATGCTGTAATAGAAAAATAAAGTTTCATTAAGTCTTAGAAATTTGAGGCTTAAATTTCCATCACAGAATATTGCATTGGATGAATGAAGGATAGTATAGGAGTTAAGCATGAAGGTTGCAGAGCAGTACTCCCCAGTAGAACTTGCTGTATTAATAAGAATGGTCTGTGTTGGTATTGTTTCTTATGTGGAACAACATGTGGCAAATGAGCGCTTGAAAAGTAGCTAGTTTAATAAAAAAGTGGCACTTTAAATTATAGTTAATTTTATTTTATTTAAATTGAGATATAATTGTCCAATATGGCCAGTAGCCACATACTGTAAACTGCAGTTCTATTGTCCAACAATTTGAAACAATCACTGCCCCACAATTATTTGCTTTCAAGCCTTGAGGACATTACCTGAATCTTAAGTGACTCCATTTCTACTTCTGTAAAAAGTATATAAAATATATTATAAAATTTTTATATTGATTAAATAAGTATATGAGTGTGAAAATTATAAAAGATAACCTTGAGGGAACTCTTTAAAATTTTTTTCTATAGTGCTGGTGATACTGTTTCTTGAGATGGGTGCTGTGTATATGGATGCCATCAGTTAATGAAAAACTAATGAATTATATTATTAATATACAAATTCTATAGGCTTTTTTATTAGGTTTAAATATTCTTATTTATTTGATCTAGAAGATGACGATGGAAAAACCTTTCTAGACATTGGTTTAGGCAAAGACTTCATGACCAAGAACCCAAAAGCAAATGCAACAAAAACAGAGATAAATAGATGGGACTTAATTAAGCTAAAAAGGTTCTACACAGCAAAATATATAATTAGCAGAGTTAACAGACAACACACAGAGTGGCAGAAAATCTTCACAATCTATACATCCAATAAAGGACTAATATCCAGAATCTACAATGAACTCAAACAAAAAGCAAAAAAAAACAACCCCATCAAAAAGTGGGCTAAGGACATGAATAGACAATTCTCAAGAAAGGATATACAAATAGCCAAAAAACATGAAAAAATTATCAACACCACTAATTATCGGGGAAATGCAAATAAAAACCACAATGCGATACCACCTTACTCCTGCAAGAATAGCCATAATCAAAAAATCAAAAAGTGATAAATGTAGGCACAGATGCAGTGAAAAGGGAACACTTCTACACTGCTGGTGGCAATGTAAACTAGTACAACCACTAAGGAAAACAGTGTGGAGATTCCTTAAAGAACTAAAGGTAGATCTTCTATTTGATACAGCAATTCCACTACTGGATATCTACCCAGAGGAAAAGAAGTCATTATACGAAAAAGATACTTGGACACACATGTTTATAGCAGCACAATATACAATTGCCAAAATGTGGAACCAGCCCAAATGCCCATCAATCAATGAATGGATAAAGAAACTGTGGTATATATGTATGAAGAAATACTACTAAAGCTATAAAAAGGAATGAATAAATGGCATTCGCAGCAACCTGGATGCAACTGGAGACTATTATTCTAAGTGAAGTAACTCAGGAACGGAAAATCAATGCTTTCTTGATGTTTCAGTCCCTTAATTTTTTAATACACAATTCAGGAAATAATACGCTGTGTATAAATATTTCAAAGATAATATAAGCAATCACTTTCTTGTGTTATATGGGTTAATACCTAACATATATTAACAGCAATTATTATAAGTGCTTTGGATATTCATTGTCATTATAATCAGAAACACATAAAGCAAAGTCCTTACTTCTTGTTCACTACCTATTTTCTATTAAAATCACAGTAACCCAAATATAACTTTAAATGTATTAAGAAATATATCTAAATAATGTATTTTTATCCTTGAATTTGCTTAGGTCATCAGAAATTTAGGCACCTGACAGATGTTATATAGATTTGATCATATGTGTTTATACTGTTCTAGATCTGTGGTCATGGGGCCTAAAGTAAAAGCAGATCAAATTCTATTAAAGTTTTCATCCTCAAAACTGACAAGTATGGTATACTTATTATTGTTTAAAAGATAGGCATCATGATTGGCATCATGTTTTGCTCTCAAATCTTTACTCTGGGACTTCATTCTGCCTTCTTGCCAAGTTATAGCACTTGAGTGAGTCAAACCATTCTTGTTACAATAAAACCTTGGGGAATAAATCTCAAATGACCAACACTGAGGAAAACAATATTATAATTCTCACTCTTATTCCTGGAAAAACAGTGCTGTGGACATTTTGTGTGGACTTCACTAACTGCAGAGTTGATGAGGCACCCGAGAGTCAGCGAGAAAGAGAAAGAAGTCACGCATGAAATTTAGGTGAGATTTGTTTTACTGAGAATGTAACATGATTATACAAAGACCCTGTAACCAATTCAATTAAATGGATATAAATTCTAGTAAATTAGATGAGAAATACAAGTCAATCACAGTTTACTGATGAACGCCAATTAATCTATGAAAATGGCAGACCTCAATTAAAACAATATTGGCAGCACTTTGGCAGGCCAGGGCCGAGGAGTTCGAGACCAGCCTGGCCAACATGGTAAAACACTGTCTCTACTAAAAGCACAAAAATTAGCCAGCGTGGTGGCAGGTGCCTTTAATCCCCACTACTCAGGAGGCTGAGGCAGGAGAATCGCTTGAGCCAAGGAGGCAGAGGTTGCAGTGAGCCGAGATCACACCACTGCACTGCAGCCTGGGTGACAGAGTGAGACCCCATCTCTAAACAAAACAAAACAAGACAAAACAAATAGTATTGGTCAATAATGGACTCAATAATAATATTAATACTGACTTAGATTTTATTTACTATACTAAAAACAATAATGACAATATGTGCATTGCACTTACATTGTACTAAACATAATATTATTAATAATGGAAATACTTACATTGTGCTTCTTATTTACCAAGAGATCTCCAAAGTACTTTCATCTATGAAATGCTTTAGCCCTCACAATGAAGCACATGCTTTTAATACTTACATTTGACGGGTCAGACTAATAAAATATAAAAAGAATGAGGCATTTGTCCAAGCGAGTACAAGTGTTTGAACCCAGGGCTTCTGGCCCCAGAGTTCTTGATGTTAACCACTGTATTCCATTGACTCTTTGTAGTATAGTGCCCATATCACTGTGTTTCTTTCACACGAGTAAAATGTATTTCTACAACATCATGTATCATCGTTATTTAAAAGCACGTAGACCAATATTTAGATCTTTTAAGTTGAGGATCACTGATACAAATTTAAAATACAAGTGTATCATAAAAATAATAATGCTTTGATTTCATTTTGTATATGTAAAAAGACAAAATTTAAAATTATGAACAGTTTATTCCTGTCTCTAATAAATAGGCATAGTGGTGTGGGTTCTGGAGCCAAATTGTCTGAGCTCACAGTGTGACTTCCCTGTTTATTAGTAGTATGAACTTGGATAAAGCCTCTGACTTTCTCAATCTTGTTTTTCCTCTCTGTACAATGAGAGTAATTACAGTAAAACCTCATATGGTTTTCAGAAGAATCAAATGACCCAGTGTTTCTATAATGGTTAGGCCCC
Organism: Homo sapiens; assembly: GCF_000001405.40. Classification (NCBI taxonomy): domain Eukaryota; kingdom Metazoa; phylum Chordata; class Mammalia; order Primates; family Hominidae; genus Homo; species Homo sapiens. The sequence goes on from NC_000001.11 coordinate 247,771,496, forward strand.
TGCCTCGGATGGGAAATCTGCTCAATCCATCTTACTACCGAACATCACAAAGCACATTGCTCAACTTTTTCATCGGGCTATTGGCTGATTAGGAGCTAGAAATGCATTTCCTGATTTAGCGTTCAGGGAACACTCTAACATTACATTGATTTTTCACACCATCATATCCTCAAATATTCTTTCACTTATAAGTTGGTATTTTTTATAATATTAATCCAAAGAAACACCGAAGTATTGTGACATCATGGTTAATGTTTCATTAGATTTTCCACCTTATTTCCACAGATATAACAAACAGATAGAGTAAGATATAATACAATGAAGAAAAAGTAATAGTATTAACAATGAATGAATCTTGGCAATCAGCTATTTCAAGGCTTCTGTCTCAGAAGGTTTTATGCATATATTTCTCATCACAAAACTCATTATTGACCTAATCAGAATTAGATACCATGCTTGATGACTTGCATTGTGCTACCTCTTAAGATAGTGGGATTCTAGTGAGTACAATGAATGTTTTGCACCAAGGGATAATGATCCAGCAAAAAATCCGAAACACATTAGCACACAGCATTGCCAGAGACACTGATCCTGACATGTGGGCTTGGATTAAAACAATGGCAAGTCAATGAGAGGGCAAGAGAATAGGCCCTGGAGTCAGGCAGAAAAACTCGGTTATTTTCTAGAAGGAAAACTTGGAACATTTCTTAATTTCCCCTGTAGAACTTACTAATATTAGCATGTGGCACATAGGGCTTCTGTGAACATTAAATAAAATAACACCATTTAAACATTTTTTAGATTGATTAGCCTATAGCAATTGTCCAATAAATGTTAGCTTTTTATCTCAGAATTAAGTTTGTGCTCTTTTATTTTCTATATCAGTTTATTAGATTGGTGCAAAAGTAATTGTGGTTTTTGCCAATGTAATATTAATTAATAATTAATCACCACTAATATTACAGTGCAACCATGAATACTCATATCAAAGCACCCAAAACTGGGACCTTCGGTTAAATGAATGTTAAGTCCTCCAGTGTTCAAAAAAGCAAAAATCAGGTACATAATTTTTCTGTGGTTGTTGCTGATACTTCCTTTTGTTTGTGAGATTCTGTTGCACTGATTTTTCTAGGAAAATGAATGGCCTTTGGTGAGATGAGAACATGCATTGCTTCTCTGGGAGTCATTTAGTTTACACCACTCTAGAATTTGCCTCCTTCTAAGATAAAATAATACTATCCACACCTTGTTTATTGGATCCCAAAAGTGCAGCAGCATGCACTTATGACCATAAGCTGTAACTACTGTTTAACATAAAAATGACTTGCTTTGCTTTCCTTAAGCATGGAATGGCTTTGTGATTTGTTTGTTTCTACTTAGACTTTACTTTAGATCTTGGACTCTAGACTTCCAACAACATAAACTCTAATACTCAAAGTAACAAATTGTATTATACTCTGCCCATTATGAAAAGCATGTGAAATCAGTTCCACTCATGAAATCAATTCCATTCATTGAGGAATCATTTATTCATTCACTCAATACATTTATTTGAGTCTTGAATCTCAGCCAAGTGTTATTCTAGTTGCTCAAGTTTGATCAGTGAAGTAAACAGCACAATCTTCTCTTGGAGCCTGAAGCTTACATAGAAACAGTGTGCTCTCATATTAGTTAGGCTAAATTATCAGAACACAAGGAAAAGTCAAAAAATCATAGAAGTATGATTACAGTTTCATGAAATCCCAAAGATCTGGAGAATTGAAAGTTGTAATGAATTTTTAAAAAAAGTTTCTGATACCTTCTCACTGAGAAATAAATTAATTAAGAGTTATTTAATTAATGGTACAAATTTTATGAACCATGGTACAGTTCATAAGAAAAGAGAGCAAATTCATCTCCATTTTGCATTTATTCTGAATAAAAATGTCCATTTACTCTGTCTTTGAATCTTCCCAGGGTATGTTTATTTCCATTTTGTATAGAGTAAGAAACAGTATCAGGAAATTTCCAAATGACAAATTACCACACACATGCAAACACACACACGTATACATGCACACTTACACACATATGCATTGCTCTATCCCATGCTTCCTATTCCACAGATGGAAGTCACTCCCCACAATGGAATTCCAACTTATTATAGTTCAAGTAGTCCTAAGGTAAACTGCCTAAATATATTATTGTTTTGTATATAATATTTAATAAATAATGGAATGTACGAGAGAGAGAGCTATTATAGGTAAAAAGAAATAAAAATAGGTTGATAATCACTGATTTAGAAAGAAGCCACATCAATGATTACAATAAAAAGGTCTAATTTGTATCACAAACCTAGCACATATTGTTAGATTTCTTTCACCTTATAATATAACCAAAATGTCATAAATCGATTCAAAATATATCAAACAGATAGTATGGTAGGATAAAGAGTGCCCTTCCAAGATGTCCATATGGTAAATTATGAAGCCTGTGGATATATTACCTTACATGGTAAAAGGAAATTTGCAGATGTGAATATTAAAAATGTTGAGATGAGATACCATCCTGGTTTATCTGGAAGGATCCAATGTCATCACTAAGGTCCTTCTAAGAGGGAAGTAGGATGGTCAGGTACAGGAGATGTAAGACCAGAGGCAGAGGTTGGAGAGAAGATGCTGTGCTGCTGGCTTTAAAAGCAGAAAAAGGGGCCATAGACCATTGGATACAGGTGGACTTCAGAGGCTGGCAAAGGAAAGCAAACACATTCTTCTCTGGAGCCTCCAAAAGAAACATGAGCCTGCTAACATATTATAGGCCTTTAAAGCTTACTCTGCACTTTTGTCCTCTGGAACTGTAAATTAAATAATTCCTATTGCTTAAAACTATTAAATCTAAGATAATTTGTTTTAATAGTACCAGGAAACTAATAGAAATGTGACCAAAAACTCTAAGTTAATTGATTTTACAAACATAATCAACTCCACTTGCCAGCATCTCCCTCAGCCCAGATAACAATTCTTGTAAAGAAAAACTAACTAAATAGTTGAGTCTCAGGTGTCATCATGTCTTTCTGCTCTGATTTTGAGACCTCTTTAGATTAAAAAAAAAGCTAATGATGTGGAGTGAAAAAAATTACTCAAAATACATGAGTATTTTGAGATTAGAGTTGAATTATATGGAGCCATATTTATAGAGGCAGACTATTTCTACATAAATGATTTATTTCCCATTTCTTTCTCTTACAGCTGAACTTTTCTCTTTACATGAAATACCAAACACAGCAGACCAAGACATTATTGCATTAAATAATTTTTGCGTTGGCTTATAAGTGTTTTCCTTCTTCCTCCTCCTCCTCTCCCATCTCTCTCTCTCTTTTTCTCTTTCTCTCTCCCTCCCTCTCTCTCTCATTCTCTTTCTCTCAGCACTTACACAATGGTGAATTTTACACATGTCTCAGAATTTGTTCTACTTGGGTTCCAAGGGGGTCCCGGGATGCAGGCTATGCTATTTCTGATTTTTCTGATCCTGTATGGCATAGCTGTGGTGGGAAACCTTGGCATGATTGTAATTATCTGGGTAGATGCACACCTCCACACCCCAATGTATGCCTTCCTGCAAAGCCTTTCATTGTTGGACATCTGCTATTCCTCCACAATTGCACCCAGGGCTCTGGCGAACTCCATGCAAGAGGACCACACAATTTCCTTTGGCGGATGTGCTGCTCAGTTCTTTTTCTTGTCTCTCTTTGGTATCACAGAGGCTTTCCTCCTGGCTGCCATGGCCTATGACCGCTTCATCGCCATCTGCAACCCTCTTCTGTACTCTGTGAGCATGTCTCACCAGGTCTGTGTGCTGTTAATATCAGGATCCTACTTGTGGGGTGTAGTCAATGCCATTGCTCAAACAACCATGACCTTCAGGTTGCCTTTCTGTGGGTCCAATGAGATCAACGACTTTTTCTGTGATGTTCCCCCACTCTTGTCCCTCTCATGTTCAGATACCTTTATAAACCAACTGGTTCTTCTTGGTTTATGTGGCTCCATTATTGTCAGTACCTTTTTGATTGTCCTGGTCTCATACATTTACATCATCTCAACAATTCTGAGGATCCCGACCATGCAGGGACGCTAGAAAGCCTTCTCCACGTGCGCTTCCCACCTAACAGGAGTGTGCTTGTTTTTTGGTACTGTTTTCTTCATGTATGCACAACCCAGTGCCATCTTCTTCATGGAGCAAAGTAAAATAGTGTCCATATTCTACACTATGGTCATCCCCATGCTGAATCCCCTGATATACAGCCTGAGGAACAAAGAGGTCAAGCAGGCTCTGAGACGGAGCATGCAGAAGCTGTCTTTGTGATCACCGTCTCCATGGATCTCCTCAGTCATCCTGGACCTCGCCCCAAAGCGCTGCTACCCATGGAGGTTATGTCTTAGGAATATGGCATTCCAGGGCTTCTTAGTTTCTTTCTTGAAGTCTGTGATCCAGAAGACCAAGGGTATTTTAATTGTCTTTATATGTTTAACGATAAACAAAATCAAGGCTTATGAGGAATAAAATGCAGACTGGCGGCGACTGAATAGACGGATATATATGGCTTTTTTGTCTCACATATTACATAGTATCTTGGTCCAACTCCGTCAGAAAACAATTATGTAAAAATTGTATATTTTATTTAGAAAATAAATAAAATGTTTATCTTGAATGTAGCTTACCAAGTACAAATATGGATCCTACACAAAGGAAAAGAAAAATAAAATGCTTTAATATTTTACCTAAAACATTTAGAAATATATAAATTAGTAATTCGTATTTTTCATGTTAAAAATAAATAACAAATTAGAAAAAATATTATTAAATTCTATTTTAAATAGCTTTTATGGAGGTATAATTGACACACAAGAAATTCGCATGAAGTGTATAATTTGTTATGTTTTGACTTATGTAAACACTGGTGTGACCATTCCCACAATCAAGATAATGAACATATTATTATGCCAAATCACACCAACTGGTTCCTTGGTTCCTTCCTAATGCTTCCCTCACTTTAGCCATAAACAACCCTCCTCCCAGGAAACAACTGATCTGCTTTCTGCCACTATAGATTAGTGCACATTTCACTTAAATTGAACTATAAGCCATGTAATCTTTTTGAGGGGGTGGAATTAGACTTGGAACGGTGTAACTTATTTTACTTAGTATAATTAGTCTGAGATTTATACAACTTGTTTCATACCTCAATTGTTTGTCATGTTTATTACTGGAAAATATTCCATTGTAAGAATATACTACAATTTGTTTATCGATTTATGTGTTCATAAACATTTGAGTTGTTTCTAGTTTTCGGCTATAACAAATACAGTTGTTGGGCCGAGAGTGGTGGCTCACATCTGTAATTCCAGGTGTGATATAAAGGAAAATCTGCAGAAGCAAATGCAGAAATAAGTATCATGACATCTTTCTGCCTTTATCCAATATTAACTTATTAAGCATCTACTGGGCATGCTATTTGAGGAGAAGCACGAATGAATAAAACTCATATTTCACTTTAAGAATATCACAGTACAGTTGGAGAATTTACTTTCATAAACACAACATCTCAAGATTTACACTTGGAAGTCATCACAGTAAAATCAGAGTAATAAACATACATTGAAACATTAATGCATCAAGGTCTTAACTGCCTGGATGCAGACATAATATTTTAATTATGAAAATTTCACTTTCAGTAGAGGAATGAAAAACATGGAAACTGTAAAAAAAAACAATAATGAATTAATTTATTTAATTAAGAGTTTGAGCAAATATAATTTTCTAAGCTCTAAACTGTTGGGATACCAAATTGAATAAACTTTTTTCCTCAGAAAGCTCAAGTATAGTAAATCATTGTTAGAAATTTAGTATTATTAGTGCTGACATAGGATAAGTTTATATGTATAGTACCATGCAAATTCAAATTGTGTTCAAGTATTGAAAACAGGGGGCCAAGGTGGCTTCCCAGAAGAGATGGCACCTCTGTCATAGTTTATTAACATCTGTATGTTCCCACTCCTTACAGATTTCTTTATCTTTTGAAGGGTTCATAGTCTAGTAACTCTCATTCCTCGCACAGCATTTTAGAAATTAAAAGCTTCCAATTACCTTGAATATAAAAATATGTGCTTCTGCCATCATAGATATATACTGCTTAATGCTTTCTTGTACTGAAACCAATTCAAAGAAATACGAGAGAAGAAAAAAAGAAAAACACAGGGAGAGAGAGTGAAATTTCAGCTTCCACTGAGAAGTGAGATTCTAAAAGATGGAATCTTTGAGTCTCAAGCTATGACTCAGTATTCTCAAACACAATTAGATAGTTGGTACGTCCTTTTCTTCTTGGATAGGATATATTAATAAGATATCTTTATCCTGACTTATCCATGAAGGAAGAATTAATAAGTAAGATGGGGGTGCTCGTATTAACTTATTGGACTCAGTAACCAACTATGAGATGTGAGTGCTGTTGCCCACTATAGAATCATAATTAGCATTTCTCTGACACAAGTGATCAAATTTTATATTTTGAATTAATCATTTGGGTGTCCTCTTTTGTGAAGTGATTGTTTAAACCATTTGCCCATTTTAGCTGGATTGACAATCTTTTCCACTTTTTTAAAGATATACTTTATATATGCTGGATATAGGTTTGTTTGCCAGATGTATACACGACAAATATCTTCTTACAGTTTTATGCCATGCTTTTTCTTTTTTTTTCTAATAAGAATTTTTATTTTATTTTATTTTTTTATTATACTTTAAGTTCTAGGGTACATGTGCACAACGTGCAGGTTTATTACATATGTATACATGTGACATATTGGTGTGCTGCACCCATTAACTCGTCATTTACATTAGGTATATCTCCTAATGCTATCCCTCCCTGCTCCCCGCACCCCACGACGGGCTCCGGTGTGTGATGTTCCCCTTCTTGTGTCCAAGTGTTCTCATTGTTCAGTTCCCACCTATGAGTAAGAACATGCAGTGTTTGGTTTTTTGTCTTTGTGATAGTTTGCTGAGAATGATGGTTTCCAGCTTCATCCATGTCCCTACAAAGGACATGAACTCATCTTTTTTATGGCTGCATAGTATTCCATGGTGTATATGTGCCACATTTTCTTAATCCAGTCTATCATTGATGGACATTTGTGTTGGTTCCAGGTCTTTGCTACTGTGAATAGTGCTGCAATAAACATATGTGTGCATGTGTCGTTATAGCAGCATGATTTATAATCCTTTGGGTATATACCCAGTAATGGGATGGCTGGGTCAAGTGGTATTTCTAGTTCTAGATCCTAGTTCTAGATCCACAATGGTTGAACTAGTTTACAGTCCCACCAACAGTGAAAAAGTGTTCCTATTTCTCCACATCCTCTCCAGTACCTGTTGTTTCCTGATTTTTTAATGATCGCCATTCTAACTGGTGTGAGATGATATCTCATTGTGGTTTTGATTTGCATTTCTCTGATGGCCAGTGATGATGAGCAAAACAAGAAATGGGGAAAGGATTCCCTATTTAATAAATGGTGCTGGGAAAACTGGCTAGCCATATGTAGAAAGCTGAAACTGGATCCCTTCCTTACACCTTATACAAAAAATTAATTCAAGATGGATCAAAGACTTAAATGTTAGACCTAAAACCATAAAAACCCTAGAAGAAAACCTAGGCATTACCATTCAGGACATAGGCATAGGCAAAGCCTTCATGACTAAAACACCAAAAGCAATGGCAAAACAGCCACAATTGACAAATGGGATCTAATTAAACTAAAGAGCTTCTTCTGCACAGCAAAAGAAACTATCATCAGAGTGAACAGGCAACCTACAGAATGGGAGAAAATTTTTGCAATCTACTCATCTGACAAAGGGCTAATATGCAGAATCTACAAAGAACTCAAACAAATTTACAAGAAACAAACAAACAACCCCATCAAAAAGTAGGTGAAGGATATGAACAGACACTTCTCAAAAGAAGACATTTATGCAGCCAACAGACACATGAAAAAATGTGGCATGCTTTTTCAAAATTCTTTCAATAAAATTATTAATTCTTCTGATGAATTCTGTAAGTTTAAGAGGTTATTAAATTTAATACAATGCTTATTTCTTGATTTATTCCTTTTATCTATTTTATTATCCCAGTACATGTAACTTACGGTCATGATTTAGCTTACTACAATTAAAAAGAATTTCAAAAAAAAAGTATTCACACTTTTTTTTCATTACAAATATCTTGCTTGTCTGGCCAATTAGTATTCTACAGACACATAATATTTGCTTCTTGAACTCATAAACCTCATCAATATCATTGACTGGTATTTTCGTGCAAATTTTGGATAACTGATAATAGCTTTATGACATTGAAAAATTCTATTCATGAACACAGTATATAATCCTATTTAATTATATTTGTTCATTGTTCATTATATTTTTCACATGTTTATATATTCTGCCAACAAATAATATTCTTGATGCATTATCAAGTGGGATATTAAAAAACATCTCAAAGTTGATAGTGGTATATGAACTTGCATGGCTTTCATGTATTTATCTCAAGAATTCTCACTAACTTTCTAACTTCTCTTAATATCTAAAAACAATGTTCATAAATTATTATAATTATTGATGACAATAACCCAAGTCTACTAAGTCGTAATAGAAGAAATTCTTCTTAGCCATCTTATTTTAGTTCAGTGTAATTAATATTGATCTATTAACTAGATGGAAGAGAAAATTTATTTCACCCTAGTGTCCAGGGGTGGCTTTTTTCTTGAATGGTACTTTGTTGAATATTTTTCTATAGTGAGATAATTTTAGCATTTTATCATGTGTTAATGTGTTAATCTGTTATAATAGGTTTCATTACGTTGATGAAAACTTGCACTACGGGAGTAATTCGAATGTGGTCATGATTTTTTATTGATGTACTGTTTTGTTTTTTATACTGAAACCTACGTCTCCTGTAAGGATTGGCCTGTCACTCCTTTTCTTCTAATGCCATTGTATGGTTTTGGTGTGAAGCTACATCTAAATATCTAAAATATGTTAGATCATATTTCTACTTTCCCCACTAGACTTTGCATGCGTTAAATATATATATATATATTGCTTAAATATTGAGTACAATTCACCTTTGCAAGTACTCATGCTGGATTTTTTTTTCTTTTTTAAAAACTTGATTTAGAGTATGCAAGTGCAGTTTTGTTACACCGATATATTGCATAGTGGTAAAGTCTGGGCTTTTATAACTTACCTATCACCCAAATAATGAACACTATACCCAATAGGTAACTTTCCAATCCCCACTTCCACACCAACCTCCCCCCTTTTGGAGGCTCCAATGTCTATTATTCTCTTCTGTATGCTAGATATTTTCTTTATGGAAATATTTTCTCATCCCTGATTCAGTTTCTATAGTATTGTAGGATAATTTGGGCTTTACACTTCTTCCTGAGTCAGTTCCATACAATTTAACTCATTTAAAAATATTTTCATATTGGGCATGATGGGGAGTGTCTGTAATCCCAGCTACTTAAGAGGCTAAGGCCTTGAATTCACTTGAGTTCAGGGGTTTAGGCTGTAGTGTGCCATGATCACACCTGTGAAAAGCCACTTTGCACTGTAGCCTGGGCAACGTAGTAACAACTATTTTGCTAAAAAAAATTAAAATAAGCCAACAAAATTGTTTTAAAGTATTTCTATTTCATGTAAGTCTGCTATTCACTAATATATAATAATAGTTTCAGAATGTTTTAGTCTTTCAAAAATGTATGTGACATGTATAATATTTTTGTGACATCTATGACATTATGTAGATAATAATATATAAATTATATTATTATAAATGTAATTTATATTCATTAATAAACATAAATTACACATACAATTTTCAAATATTTTCTCCCATTCATCGTGGATTGTCTTTTCGATGGTGTACTTTTATTATGGTAGGAAAATGATATGCTATACCCAATAGGTAACTTTCCAATCCCCACTTAACCATCTTTACCATTTTTAACCATTTTTAAGAGTACAGTACAGTAATGTTAAGTATATTTGCATTGTTGAGCAACAGATCTCTGGAAATTTTTCATCTTGCAACAGTGAAACTCTTTCATAACGACTGCATCATTTTACATTCCCACCAACAGGGCACAAACAAGGGTTCAAACTTCCCCAGTTCCTCACCAACACATTATTTTCTGTTTTCTCGATAGTGTCCATCCTGATAAATGTGATGTAAGATCTTGTGGTTATTTTGACTTGAATTTCCCTAATTTTGACTTAGAAATATTGAACATCTTTTCATATGCTTATTGGCCATGTGTATATCTTCTTTGGAGCAATATCTATTTAAGTCACTTGTCCATTTTTAATTCAGGTTGTTTTGTCGTTATTTTTTAACTCTTTATCAGATACATGATTTTGGATTATTGTTTCCTATTCCACAGATTGCCTTTTCAATTTATCAATTGTTTATTTTATTTTTATTTATTTTTTGAGACAGAGTCTTGCTCTGTCACCCAGGCTGGAGTGCAGTGGCATGATCTTGGCTCACTGCAACCTTCACCTCCCAAGTTCGGGCTATTGTCCTGCCTCAGCTTCCCGAATAACTGGGATTACAGGCGCCCACCATCATGCCTGGCTACTTTTTTTGTATTTTTAGTAGAGGCAGGGTTTCACTATGTTGGCTAGGTTAGTCTTGAACTCCTGACCTCATGTGATCCACCCACCTAGGCCTCCCAAAGTGCTAGGATTACAGAAATGAGCCACCATGCCCGGCCTCAATTTGTCACTTATTTATTTTAAATCCTGCCCTCAAACATTGGACTTCAAGTTCTCCTATATAGGGGAGTTTCAACTCTCCCATATAGGGGAGTTTATTAAGGGGTATTAAACTCACATGATCACAACGTCCCACAATAGGCCATCTGCAGGCTGAGGAGCAAGGAAGCCAGTCCGAGTCCCAAAGCTGAAGAACTTGAAGTCCAATATTTGAGGGCAGGAAGCATCCAGCAAGGGAGACAGATGTAGGCTGGGAGGCTAGGCTCAGTCCAGTCTTTTCATGTTCTCCTGCCTGTGCTGAAGAATTGTCCTAACTGTGCTGGCAGCCAGATTGTGCCCACTCAGATAAAAGGGTGTGTTGGCCTTTCCCAGCCCACTTACTCAAATGTTAACCTCCTTTGTCAACACCTTCAGAGGTACACCCAGGATCAATACTTTTCCTCCTTCAATCCATTCAATTTGACACCCAGTATTAACCATTACATATCCACTCCTTGTGAACTTAACCTATACACATCTCCTGAGATCATACATAATCTTCAAATAAAGACAATAATAAGGTCTTAATTATGCCTAACATGATACAACTATCCTTCATACAACCAGAAACACACCAATCCCCAACCCAAATGCTATTATATAAAGTTAACAACACTTAAATGCTGATATGAAGTCAATAATTTTATGTCACATGATAAAGAAAAAAGGAAATAAAATGAAGGGATTTCCTTAGTACAAGTGCATACATTCACAAACATGTTTTTATCAAAAGGAGGATAAAATAGTAATGACAATTACAATCCCTGTTTCTGCAACTGGTCACGTGGTCATAGCTGGTATTGATGACTACCTACTTTTACTACCCATTCTGTGTTACCTTTGCTTTCAGCAAGCACCTCAGCAGGTTGTGTTTCTTCTCCCAGTGGAGTGACCCAAATCTTCATTTCTGAAGGGTCTGGGGCATTTGTAGTCCTGCCTGGATTGGGCTGCTGTAATTTTCCATTGACCTTAATCACAGGACATGGTAATACTAAGAGAGCCCCAAGGGGTCTCCTGTATTCCATGAATACTCTTCCTTACCTCCACTGTGGGGTAGTAGGCTGATTTCATCTAGATAATTCCGGTCAACCACCCCAGCCAACACTGTAACTCCCTTCTTAGCCTGTTGACTTAAGAATAGGAGGAGAACAAAGTGTCCAGGGGGCAATCTTAACTTCCAGTTTAATGGAATTTTTGTTGGGTCTCCTGGTGGCAGTGCTCCTCCCTCTGGAACTAAGACCTCTAGGCCAGCAGAAGATAATGTTGCAGGAACAGGAAGCAAAAATTTTGCTAGTGGATCACTAGAGGCGATGGTGAGTGGTGCCACTTCCACTTCCACCCCTTGGTTCCTGGACCCATGAATCCTGGCGATGGGAGAAACAGTACTATATAATGGACACTGATTCAGCATGTACACGGCCTTCTGGAGAACTTTGCCCCACCCTTGCAAAGTATTGTCACCTAGATGGCATTGTAATTGTGACTTCAAAAGGCCATTCCACCATTCTATCAATCCAGCTGCTTCAGGATGATGGGGAACATGGTAAGACCAGTGAATTCCATGAGCATGAGCCCACTGCCACACTTCTTTAACCATAGACTGCCTTGGTCAGAGGCAATGCTGTGTGGAATACCATGACGGTGGATAAAGCATTCCATGAGTCCACAGATGGAAGTCCTTGCAGAAGTATTGCATGCATGATAGGCAAACCTGTATCCAGAGTAAGGGTCTATTCCAGTAAAGACAAACCTCTGCCATTTTCATGATGGAAGAGGTCCAATATAATCAACCTGCCACCAAGTAGCTGGCTGTTCACCCCGAGGAATTGTGCCATATCAAGGGCTCAGTGTTGGTCTCTGCTGCTGGTAAATTGGGAACTCAGCAGTGGCCATAGCTAGGTCAGCCTTGGTGAGGGGAAATTCATGTTGCTGAGCCCATGCATAACTTTCATCCCTGCCACCATGGCCACCTTGTTCATGGGCCCATTAGGCAATGACAGGTGGCTGGTGGTGAGTGGTGTCCACAGAACAGGTTATCCTATTCACTTGATTATTAAAATCTTCCTCGGCTGAGGTCACCTATTGGTGAGCACGGACATGGAATACAAATATCTTCACAGTTTTAGACAACTAGGAAAGTTTCATCCACATACCTCTTCCCCAAATTTCTTTGTTACCAATTTTCCAATCATGCTTCTTCCAAGTCCCTGACCATCCAGTCAAACAATTGGCTACAGCCTATGAATCAGTATATAATCACACATCTGGCCATTTCTCCTTCCATGCAAAGTGCACAACCAGGTGCACTGCTTGAATTTCTGCCCACTGGGAAGGTTTCCCTTCACCGCTGTTCTTCAGGGATGTCCTAGAAAGGATCTGTAGTGCTGCAGCTGTCCACTCTCTGGTTGTGCCTGCATATTGTACAGAAACATCTGCAAATCAGGCCCTAGTTCTCTCTTCCTCTGTCAACTGATCATAGGGAACTCCACATGAGGCCATTGGTGCAGGCTGGGGGAGAGAAGGCAGGGTGGCAGGACTGGAGACCATGGGCATTTGAGCTATTTCCTCATGTAACTTACTTGTGCCTTCAGAACCTGCTGGAGCCCGATCAAGTATATATTACTTTCATTTGATGATGGAATGCTGCTGTCTATGACCCACTTTATGGCTGGATGGGTCAGAAAGCACCCAGTTCATGACAGGCAGTTCAGGTCACATGTTGACTTGATGATCCATAGTCAAATCTTTGGTTTCAACCAAAGCCCAGTAATAGGCCCAAGAGCTGTCTCTCAAAAGGAGAGTAGTTATCTGCAGAAGATGGCAGGGCGTTGCTCCGAAATCCTAGAGGCCTCCACTGTGGTTCACCTATGGGGACCTGCCAGAAGCTCCAACAGCATCCCTATCTGCCACTGACACCTCAAGCACTATTGAATCAGCTGGGTCATATGGCCCAAGTGGCAGAGCAGCTGACACAGCAGCTTGAGCCTATTGCAGAGCCTTCTCCTGTTCTGGACCCAATTCAAAACTGGCAGCCTTTTGGGTCACTCAGTAAACAGGCTGGAGTAACACACCCAAATAAGGAATTTGTTGCCTCCAAAATCCAAATAGGTCCACTAGGCGTTGTGCCTCTTTCGCCTCTTTCTTGGTTGTAGGAAGGACCAAATGCAGCCACTTATTCTTCACCTTAGAAGAAATATCTCAACTGGCCCCACACCACTGGACCCCTAGACATTTTACTGAGGTAGAACTTTCCTGAATTTTAGTCCGATTTGCTTCCTATCCTCTGGCATGCAAATGTCTCACCAATAAGTCCAGCATGTTTGCTACTTCTTGCTCAATGGATCCAATCAGCTGCTGGGCCATTTGTAGTCCTGCCTGGATTGGGCTGCTGTAGTTTCCCATTGATCTTAATCACAGGGCTTGGTAATCCTAACATCATCAATGTAATGGACCAGTGTGATATCTTGTGGAAGTGAAAAGTGATCAAAGTCTCTTCAAACAAGATTATGACACAAAGCCCGCGAGTTGATATACCCATGAGGTAGGACAGTGAAGGTATACTGCTGGCCTTGCCAGCTGAAGGCAAATTGCTTCTGGTGGGCCTTATGGACAAGAATGGAGAAAAAGGCATTTGCCAAATCAATGGCTGCATACTAGGTACCAGGAGATGTGTTAATTGGCTGAAGCCACGAAACCACATCTGCTATTGCAGCTGCAATTGGAGTCACCACTTGGTTAAGCTTATGATAATCCACTGTAATTCTCCAAGATTCATCTGTCTTCTGCACAGGCCAAATGGGAAAGTTGAAAGGGGATGTGGTGGGAATAACCACCCCTGTGTCTTTCAAGTCCTTGATGGTGGTACTAATCTCTGCAATTTCTCTAGGGATGTAATACTGTTTTTGATTTATTACTTTTCTAGGTAGAGGCAGCTCTAATGGTTTCCATTTGGTGTTTTCCACCATAAAATCCCTAACCTTACGAGTCAGGGATCCAAGGTGGGGGTTCTGCCAGCTGCTAAGTATGTCTATGCCAATTATTCATTCTGGCACTGGGGAAAAGACCATAGGATGAGTCCAGGGACTCACTCACTGGACCCACTGTAAGTTTGACCTTAGTTAAAACTCCATTAATTACCTGACCTCCATAACCCTCTACTTGTACTGGAGGACCACAATGATGTTTTGGGTTCCCTGGAATCAATGTCAGCTCAGAACGAGTGTCCAGTAGTCCCCAACATGTCTGATGATTTCCCTTTCCCCAGTGCACAGTTACCCTTGTAAAATGCCAGGGTTCGCCCCGGGGAAGGATGGGAGAAAGATTGACATTGTAAATTTTTGGTAGTGTAGTGGGGTCCTTACTGAAAAGGACCTGGCCTCCCCTTCATTCAGGGGGTTCTGGGTCTGTAAACTGGCTCAAGTCTGAAAATTAGTTGAGGGGCCCATGATTCTCTCTTTTCATAATTCAAACTAGTCTTTTGTTCACTCGACCTGGAAGTTTTCTGCTTTTATAAATTAAGTAGGAATGCAATAGGCTTCCTGTCAATTTCACTTCTAGGAACAGCATGATTAATTAGCCAATGACAGAGCTCTATACAAGTCAGACAATTCTGATTGCTAGTTTGCCTCTGCTGTTCATTATGGTAGCTATGCCCACCTTGCCTTTGATAGTTGACTGCACCACTTGGCCCCTGCCACCTCGGGATCCAACTATTCCGACTGAATTTACATTTTGTAGTAGAGTGGCTGTGGTTCCCACTGTTAGAGCTGACATACAGAGAAGAGCAAGTACAAGGCTCTTCAAAGATGCAGGTGCTGCCCTCACAAATCTATTTTGCAAAGCATTGGTCAGGGGTATAGCTTCTGGACCCTCCCAGCTGGGATGAGGAGGTCTAATGTGACTAATCCACTTCAGCATCCCAATCTCCCTAAGCCTTTGGATTCCTTCCTCTACATTAAACCAGGGGAGACAACACATTTGCAGCTCTCTCACAGTGGGCCAGCTTTTAATCCATATTTCAGCTAAACAAACAAAGTATTAGAAGCTTTTTTAACTGCCCAAGTGCAACATTGAATGCAGAATCCATCCTTAGTGGGCCAAATCAATAAATTCAGCCTGATCCGACTCTATGTTCCTTCCACCATCATCCCACACCCTTAATATCCATTCTCTTGCCTCTTCTCAAGATTTCTTTTTTTTTTTTTTTTTGAGATGGAATTTCACTCTTGTTGCCCAGGATGGAGTTCAGTGGTGTGATCGCAGCTCACTGCAACTTCTGCCTGCCAGGTTCAAGTGATTCTCCTGCCTTAGCCTCCCAAGTAGCTGGGATTACAGGCACCTGCCATGATGCCTTGCTAATTTTTGTATTTTTATTAGAAACAGTGTTTCACCATGTTGGCCAGGCTGATCTTGAACACCTGACCTCAGTTGATCCACCTGCCTCAGCCTCCTAAAGTGCTGGGATTACAAGCCTAGCCACCACACCCAGCCAAGATTTCTGCTTATATAAATTAGAAAACTCAAGCAGTTCTTTTTGAATGTAGCACACCTCCTCATGGGTCACACTCTGAACCTCACCTTTAGGGGCCTGATGGGACTTTAGTTATAGGTCTAGAAACAAACATAGGTGTTGGGGTGGCTCCTGAGAAGAATCAACATTATCTTGCCTGGCAGCTGCCTCAGGGGAGGCCATCACTGTCACCTCAGGCAGTGCAGGGTTTATCTCCTCAGACAAATATGGAAAGGCTGATGGCAGTGTGGATTGGGGAGGAGATGTTGCCACTACTGGGGATGGGAAAGCTGTCTCTTCTGGCAAAGAAGATTCATCAGAGTTTGCAAGCTCAGGGTCCTCAGCTTTATCAGGGTCCTCCCACACATCCCCATTCCAAGTTGCAGGATCCCAATATGTTCCAGTCAATGCCCTCACTTTAACAGTAGACACCTGGTGAGGCTGTGCATGCACCTTTCATTGCAGGTCAGCCACGTGCATGATAGGAGTTTGTGTCAGATTTTCCACGATTTTAGGTCTTTCTCTACAGGAGATAAGACTCTCACTCAGGGCAATCTTAGCAGATTTGAGGCTCAGTATCTGCTTCAGAAGCCACGAGTTAGAATCCCTGAGCTCATCATTTTCTTTCATAATTTTGTCCACTGAACTTAGGAGGAACCAACCAGCTTCATTATGTTCCTTGGTTCTCCACGTATGGTCAAAAGTATGATGTAGAGAGTCACTAAACTCCTTGTCTCTCATGAGTGGTGAATCAGGATGTCAAATGCACTTATTTTGCATAACTCTCTAAACAGTTCACACCAAGGGCTATCAGTGTTCTCCATACTATTGGAAGTAGAGCTCTTAGCATTTTTGGGTCTAATCATATTAAGCAGCCAATTCCAGAAACCTCCAAACCAATGAAAGAACTCCATCCTTAATATTCTGTTCCACTAGAATCACTCCTGGTACCAAAATCTGTATTAGTCAAGGTTCTGTAGAGGCACAGAACTAATAGGATATATGTATATACATACATACATACATACATATATATACACATGTATATACATACATATATACACACATATGTATATACATACGTATATACACATGTATATACATACATATATACACACATATGTATATACATACATATATACACATGTATATACACACATATATACATGTATATACATACATATATATACACACACACACAAACACATATGAGTTTATTAAGGAGTATTAAACTCGCATGATCGCAATGTCCCACAATAGGCCCGCTGCATGCTGAGTATCAAGGAAGCCAGTCCGAGTCCCAAAGCTGAAGAACTTGAAGTCTGATGTTCAAGGGCAGGAAGAATCCAGCACAGGAGAAAGATGTAGGCTGAGAGGCTAAGTCATTCTAGTCTCTTCACGTTCTTCTGCCTGCTTTTATCCTAGGCACACCGGCAGCTGATTAGATTGTGCCCACTCAGATTAAGGGTGGGTTGGCCTTTCACAGCCCACTGACTCAAATGTTAACCTACTTTGCCAAACCCTCACAGACACACCCAGGATCAGTACTTTGCATCCTTCAATCCAATCAAGTTGACACTCACTATTAACCATCACAGTGCCATTGCTTCATGTGGGACCTGCCACTCAGACCAGGAGGCTGGCAGATTGCTGGTCCTCACACTGGCCCCCTGTACGGCAGCCAAGCCCACACAAGCTGAGGGAACCTGGAAAGACCTTTACTTGGGTTCCTCATGGAAGACTGGTTTGTGCCATTTTGTCTCCTGTGGATGTGTGAGTGTCCCCTCTGCTCCCTGCAATATCAGGTAAGCTAAGGAGTAAAAGCCTCTGGCTAGATGGTCAGTTGAAAGCCCTTCAACATTTGGGTGCCCCAAAGCATATCCTTGTCACCCCATCCCCAGTCCCTTCTCCTCTGTCTGCATTTTACTGTTCTGCCAGCTTTTAGGTTCAGTCTTAAAATGTTGGTTTCTTTTGCAGATTTTTTTTTTTTACTTTGACTTTCTGAGCAATTTTTTAAGGCAGGACAACTAGTTGTGAGAGGTCTCCTTTGTGTTATTCTGGGATGCCAGAGTCACATTGTTCTGTGGCCCCAATCAGGCCTTTGGCATTTGCTATTGGCTGCCCACTGGATGCTCCGGCGATTTTGGTGATGGTCGGCCCCCAGAAACTCTGGGGTTTCTGGCATTTGGAGTGGGGACCCTCGGTGGCTGATACTTGGGGTACTCCAGGTTTTCAGCATCTGGTATTGGCTGCCCCCTGCTTCCTCCAGGGTTTTCGGCTCTGGCATTCCCTATAAGACTGTGGGCTGAAGGCCCACCCTGGGGAAATCTTGGTCTTGCCTTCTCCTGTTTTCTGCCCTAAAGTTATCATTTTCCATAACAACATTTTCTTTTCTAATTGTCACTTTATTTACAGTTTTCCTTCTACACTTTTTTAACAAAAATACTTCTTTTGTTATATTTCATTCACTGCTAAATGCTTATAATCCACTTGTGTAACCCTTGCTAACTGCACTTACACCTTCTCTACAGGAGGTGGGAATCTAAAAGGGAAAAATAACAAGAGTCCACTTGCTTTCCATCTTACTAGACTTAGAAAAACCTCTGTGTCCAGCAGAAATCCTTATTAGACATGGGGACAATGATGAGCGTCCCAGGGGACTTGCCACTAGGGTGTGTTTTATGTTATTGGAGCGAATTCAAATTCACCTATTAAAAAAAAAACTCATTTTGTATTGCTATGTAGTTTAAGTTTAATACAAATTAGAAAACCAACAGATCTGGCCTAGGCATCATTCTTTGCATTACAATGATACTTTGCAATTAGACTTGTTCTGTGAAAAATACAAAGGAAAATGGGAGGAGGTTCCTTTTGTACAGGCTTTTAAGGCATTTTACTGACTCACGTTACTTCCAGGCACCAGGAAGCCACGCCTAAGGGATCCCCTCCTAGCTGCTCCCACTAGAAGGCCTATGCCCTCCCTGGAGCCTCCTCAGGTCCCCAGTTCTGAGGGGGGTCCCGCCAGTCCTCTAATGAAAAATTCCATCCCAAGGTCATCAGACACCCCTCCTCTTTATCCAGCTAACCCAAGCATATACCCTCTGATGACTGAGAAAGTAAGTCCAACCAGTACCACCAGGAGTGGGACCCCATATCAGCCCCTAAAGTCAAAGCTGTCTCCATTGCAGGAGGTAGTTGATAGAAATGAGGGAACACTTACGGTATGTGTGCCATTTTCTAGATGTGATTTGACTTCATAAAAGGAAACAGATGGCCATTTTTCAGTGGATCCATAAAAGTTTATAGAGGAATTTGTTAAGTTGAATATGCTGTTTAATTTAGGTCATGACTTGTAAATATTGTCTCCTGTTTTCTGTGCCATAGAAAAAAAGTGGAGAAAGACATGTATGGTTAAGCCATATGTATTTGGGACATGTATTGGTTGAGGCGCTCAGGAAATATACGATTGCAGACCCAGACTTCCTAGAAGGGCAGGCTCTCCTGGACATATATTTTATTAGTCAATCTACCCTGACATTAGGAGGAAGCTACACAAAACAGCAATGGGGACACAAAGCCCTATGAGCCAACTCTTAATGTGGTCTTTAAACTTTACAACAATGGAAACAGGGCAAAAGAAGTAGAAAAAATAAAACAAATAGCTCAAAATTGCAATTATTAGAAAATGCTTTCAGTCCCCTGCCTCTCAGTGTTTCTCATCCCAATAAAGTATTGCAAGATCAACATCTGGGATGCCTAGAGAAGAGCCCCTGGCTCACCAGCCCCTGGGCCAGAATCAGTTTGCCTACCATAAGCAAAAAGGCTATTGACATTGAGAATGTCCTAACCATCCCTGATGAGAGACAAAAAAAAAGGTCCCCGTCAATACAAAAACTAAACTTCTTCCACTAGACCCCTCAAGCTGCTTTGCTCAAGTAAGTTTACTGGGGGGGTATTGGACCCTTGACCCAATGGACAGCTTCCCACAGTAGCAGGAAAGTGGCCACCGGGTGTCTCTGCTCCTGGAGAAGCTCTCTGGTGGCTCAGGGACTCTGAGGTCTCCCCTTGAGCAATATGGTTTCACTCCTCCCTTATTTGATGCTATGGGAATCTCTTTCCTGCCTTTTCCTAACTTTCATACATATCAGGGCACACAAATTTGGCCAGGTAGACAGGTCCCAGTTTTGTAAATAACTTGCATCCACCTGTGATATATTAGTCAGTTTGTCTGTGTGGTATGTATTGTGTCTAGGATAGTATCAAATTGGCTTATGAATAAAAGAGCACTCATAAAATTAAACAAATGAGACTATTCTAAACTTATTAGTTTGAAGAGAATGTTGTGTCTTCTCCAATTGACTTTAAATTTTTCATCTAGGTAAACCAGTAATGTTTGCAGGCCTTTGAATAATTACAATGGCTTTAAGTAGTGATCTTTTTGCATAGTTAAAAACCTTAAAATTGTGAAACAATTCTCATCTATAGATGTCAATGTCTGGTGGTCAGTTCAGGATTTCTTGCTTCCTAAGTTTATATAAAATGTGCCAAAGGTATATATTTTTTATTGGGAAAAAGAGCAATTTTTGTCTAATTTGGAAATTACTAAAATGGAGATTCAAATGATGAAGGAAGCAGTGAATAGAAAAAAAGACATGTAAAGAATGTTGTAAATAGAAAATGTACTTTTTGCAATGAAGGATTATAAAAAGAGTAATTTTCTACAAAAAAAACTAGTATAATAAATTCTTGTCCTGGAGTAAAATGACTAGTTATTTAAGAAAGAAGTAAAGAAGTAATATGAGACAAGTGAGAAAGTCCCAGCATGTGATAGATGGTCTCTGTAAGTTGACACAAGGTTCATAAAGGGGACATTATTAAAGAAATTTTGTATGTGATTAAGTTAGCTGTAATTTAAAAAACATAGACTTTCTAAAAATGGTCTACATATTGAAATTAGGTTTTCTTAAGGTATTCATTTGCTAAATTACAGAAAATTTTGCCTTTCATTCCTAACTAGTTTCTTTTAAAACTTCTCATATTTGTGTCTCCAAATTTCAATCATGGTTGTGTCTTGTTGTTTTCAGCTCTTTCTCCCTTTAAAAAGGCCTAGGATAATGGCTCTCTCCTTTAGCTTTTGCACCAACTTCTGTGAGTTTTTCTCCTCTGATTCTGATATTTATTGT
Organism: Homo sapiens; assembly: GCF_000001405.40. Lineage (NCBI taxonomy): Eukaryota > Metazoa > Chordata > Mammalia > Primates > Hominidae > Homo > Homo sapiens. Next base: position 247,793,030 of record NC_000001.11, read on the forward strand.
GGTCTGATGCTAAAGCGTTTTGACTTAAAATTCTTTGAGAGCAAAGTTTTTTCCCAATTTAGCTTGATTCCATACTCTTGGTTTTTCTTGATATATAACCTTATTTTTGGCTTTTAGTTTTTTACTCTTATATGGCTTAAAAGAATTTTAAGAGCTAATAAGAGTCTGTCCACCTTCATTCCCTTCTGGCTTAAAATATTTAATTGGCTATAAGCCTTTTGACTCTCAGTTCTTTGGCCAAAAGAAATCTGAAAGAAATCTAAGAAAGCAAGTTTAGCTCATGATGGGAAATGGGGTAAAACACACCTCACTATGCCCTCTTTAAAATTTAGGCTAGGTTTACAGGTCCCTTAAAGAATAGAGAAATAAAGTGTTGCCTCCTCCAGAAGACATAGTCTTACTAAAAACTCTTTTAAAAAATTCCCGAAGGATCAATTACAACCAAAATGAAAGAGCTGTCATTGTGTATTGTTAAGTATCTTCACTGCTGTTAAACTTCAGAGAATCACTAGCTGGGTACACCTTTCAAGGATTAAACCTGTTTCTTTTAAGTCCCTGTAGGCAGAGAAGGAGAACACCACAACTTACACTTGTAGACCCATAAAAGAGGTAAAGCTTTTATTTCACAAATGCATAGATAAATAACATGATGCTGTGAGTGGGAAAGAAGCATTAATTTTTCTCTTCCTTCTAATTGTAAGTTTGTTGTTCAACCTCCTAGTAAAGTTTATATCTTATAGATTCCATGTAAAAAGGATGGCTTCCAACTCAACCTGTGTTCTGACCCAGAAAATGAAAACATCCTACTGTTGGCCCCCTTAAATCAAACATTCAAATGTTTTTACTCACCCAGTGTTAGGCAGGCCTTATGCCCATAAAATCAGCAAGAAGCAGTTACAGAAGACAGACCTCCACCTTTCTGCAGCCTCCTTAAGGATAAGTATCTAATCTCTAAGGGATGAATGAGGTGGGAGACCAGCAGGGCTTATTTTCTGGCCACAAACTTGCTGACCAAAACAGAATCTGGTCCAGACAGGATAAAGTGAAGAAACCAGCAGGAACCAGCATTGGACAATGAAGGGGATCCCTAGCTGCTGTTGTTGCTCATTAGCATAAGTTACTTCCACTAGACCCAGAAGTCACCACCCCTTTCTATAGAAACAGCTTGAAGTTTATCTCTTCTTTCCTAGAAAGTGCTAAATAACCCACTTCTCAGTTTGCATTGATCCATACCTTAATTTGCATGTAATTGGAAGTGGGTTTACTTGAGTATGCAGTTGCCAAGAGCCTATACATTGCCCACCCTGGGCACACTGCCTATGAGTAAGCCCTGCTCCAAAAGGGGCAGTATCATTCAATTATAGATTACTGTGTAACACCACCGGCTCACCCTTGAATTTTTTCCTAGGCAAAGCCAAGAACCCTCCTGGGCTCAGCCCCAATTTTGGGGCTCACCTGTCCTGCAAAAGAATCATTCTTGCATTTCAGGTATAAATCCTACCTGGCCATGAGTATGCTCACTTTAATGTGCTGTCAAATTTAATTTATTAGAATTTTATTCAGGATTTTTGCATTGATATTCATTGAAGTATTGAAATATTGCTATGTATTTTTTTTCCTTGTGTTTTTGTCTGGATGTGGTATCAGGGCAATGCAGGCATCAAGGATAAGTTTTGGCATGCTGCTTTCTCTTCAATTATTTACAAGAGTTTGAGAGAGATTGTTGTCAATTATTCTTAAAGGCTAGGCACAGTGGCTCATGCCTGTAATCCCAGCATTTTGGGAGGCTGAGGCAGGTAGATCACTTGAACCCAGGAGTTCAAGGTCAGCCTGGACTACATGGTGAAAACCCATCTCTACAAAAAACGCAAAAATTAGGCAGGCATGGTGATGTGCACCTGTGGTCTCAGCTGTTTAGGAGGCTGAGGTGGGAGAATCACCTGAGCCCAGGAAATCAAGACTTCAGTGAGCCACAGTCATATGACTGCACTTCAGCCTGGGTGTCAGAAGTGAGACCTTTTCTCAAAAAAATAAAATTATTCTTGAAATGTTTGGTATTATTCTCCAATGGAGCCTTCTCGTTATGCACTTTTCTTTATTGAGATGTTTTTTACTACTCCAATTTTTTCACCACTTACAAGTCTGTTCAGATTTTTTTGAAATTTAGGAGTGATTCACTCTTGATAAGTTAAATGTTTCCAGGAATTAATTCATTTCTTCTATGTTACGCAGTTTGTTAGTGTAGAATTACTCCTAGTAGTCTGTTATAATTCTTTTCATTTCTATGACATTAGTTGAAATGCCTTCTCTTATATTGCTAATTTTATTTTAGTTTTCTATCTTTCTTAGTTTCTCTAGATTTTTTTCAATTTTATCTTCTTTAAAAATCCACTCTTGTTTTTGTTAATATTTAAATTTGTTTTTCTTTGTTCTCTATTTTATTCATCACTGCTTTAATACTTATTATTTCTTTACTTTTGCTAACTTTGGGTTTAGTTTGTTCTTCTTTTTCTAGTTCCTTGGAGTTTATTATGAACTGAAAGTTGGTTTTTCCCAAAATTGGTATTGAAATTACAGCCACCATTCGATGGTATTAGGAAGTGAGACAATTAGGAGGTAATTAGGTCATGAGAGTGGAGCCTTCATGAGTAGGATTATTGCCCATTTTAAAAAAAGGTCCATGAGCACTTTCTTGCCTTTTATCTATCATCTGAGGACACAATGAGAAGAGGGATGCCTGCCACCAGAAGTGGGCCCTTACCAGAACCCAACCATGCTGGGCACTCTGATTTCAGATTTCCATCCTCCAGAACTGTGAGAAATACATTTCTGTTCACATAAGCCATTCATTCTGTGTTTTTTTATATAGCAGTTATTATTTTAAAGCAGTTATTATTCTTATATTTCTTATTTTTAATGTGCATTGTTTAATTTCCACATATTTGTGGGTTTTCTTGATGATGCCTTTTGAAGCAGAAAATCTTTTAAACAGATTTTGATGGAATCAAATTATCTATGTTTTCTTTTGTTGCTTGTGCTTTTCCTGTATTTCTATGAATTTTTGTATGCCTTAGGTCATGAATAACCCTATTTTTTCTTCTAATTGATTTATTACATTAGCTCCTATAATTAGGGCAATGATACATTTTGCTTTCTTTTTTCCTTCTGGGGTGAAATAGGAGTTCACATTCATTCTTCTGCATGTGGCTATGCAGTCGCCCCTGCACTGTGTAATGAGAAGACTGTGCTTTCCCCAGTGAGTTCCTCTACACCTTGCTGAGTAGGTGTATTCTATAAGCTTAAAAAAGTTCAGTTGAACATAAAATACATAAAAATAACAAAATATTGCATCTTATGATTTTAAACATTGTAATGTATGAAATAAAAATATACTAGATAGGATTAGTAGCAGTTTAGATGTGGGAAATAAAGGATTGGTGAATGTGAAGTGACAGTAATGGAAAGTACCCCAAACAACACATGTAAAGAAAAGAGAATAAATAAACAAATCATCAGTGGGCAGTGGGCAACTTCTAGGGGACTAATTTTCTGGTAATTAGAGTTACCTAAAAAGGGGAGCAGAGTAATCAGAATAATAAATTGAATAAATAATAGCCAAAAATCAAAAATTAATTTATTAGCAATAAAATAGTTGAAATTATTTTTATTTCTTTTCAAGTTTCTTAGTTGTTTCTTATCTATAAAATGATTAGTCATGTCTGTAGATCTGTTTGGTACAAAAACTTTAAAAACATCACTGAGGCAGATTTATTGTCATTTTGTAGATTTTTTTGATAGGTAGATTTATGGGTAGGGATTATATAAAAATCTCTAATTTGTTTGTAATTGACAAATTCAGATGCAAAATAAAAATTTTCTTCCCTCTTCAAATTTGTAGTATGGAATAAACATAATAGCAAGTAGAAACTCACTAGTGCACTGTTCTTGAGCATGATACATCAAGGTTTATGCCCAAGAATCATATAATATTAAAAGCCAATTAATGACCAGTGTCAACAATTTACATAGGAATAATTCTAAAGAAACTATTCCTGTTTTATTATTTCAAAGAGAAGATTTTTCAACCGTATTTATCCTTTTATTTAACACTAAACAGTACTCTTCACTTTATTAATTCTTTATTTGCAAAAGCTTTCATGGTTCTTAAAGTTACTTAATATTCACTAATTTTAATGTCAATGTTTCTAATGAGAACTTTCTAAAACAAAGGCACAGATTTTATTTATTTTTATTTTTTATTTTAGTGGATACATAGTAGGTGTATGTATTTAGGAAGTACATGAGAGGTTTTGATACAGGCATGCAATGTATAATAATCACATCATGGAATGGGGTATCCATCCTCTCAAGCAAAATTAGTACAACCACTGTGGAGAAGAGTGTGGAAGTTCCTCAAAAAGCTAAAAATAGAGCCACCATATGATCCAGCGATCCCATTGCTGGGTATAAACTTATATTTATCCTTTTGAAAACCTAAACTCTCAATGTTTTATTTTCATGTTCTTTGAAAGAAAATATTGATAGCAAGGTAAATAAAGTGATCTAATTCAAGCATTAGAAGTTCTGTTTGTTCCTGCAATGAGTCAGATTTTACCTGTAGCCTTACAATTACTCCAACATCTTCCAGCTCTGTCTTTCCTTCTTACTTACAACATTCCTCCTACAGATGCTTTGGGACTACTAATTGTCTCAGCCCCAGAGTTACGCTCACTTCTTGGCCTCTCAGTTACCCAAGGGTCCCTACCTACATCAGCTGTTACTCACTAGACTCACCAGGATTAATCCAGGGAGGAACACTCAAGAGACAGAACTCTGAGTATGAGCTCCAGGAAATTATCAGTCATCTTGTTAGCTTAATGAGTCCCGTGACTATTGATCAATTTCTTCATTTACTGAAAGTTCACCTACATTCCAAAACCTTGCCTCATTACTGCAGCCATTAATTCCTCTTCATGTTTTCCCTCAGTATTACTCAACTAATTTGTGTAGTGCTTTAATTATGCCCAGTGGGGTGTGGGAGATACATGGCCTGAATGCAAGTTGTCTGTATGTTTCCAAGACTGGAAAGACACAGAGATGTCAGAATATTCCTAAGTGTCCCATAAGAAGAAAACACCCATTAGTAATTCATTTAGATTTATTTAGAAAATTGAAATCTACCTTCACTTTTTCCAAATTAGTGTCCATTAGAACACATAGAGACCAAGGATATTGAAGGTGATGACAATGAAGCCACCTCAGAAGATCAAGTTCTTCCGTACCAACTGATGTTATCAGTCACTAAGAGGCACATCCAACGAAAAGGTCTTTGTCTTAGATGAGTGCAATAATTCTACACTAGCACATGTTCAGATAAAATTACTACAGTGTAGTCATATATTTTATAAGTGGTCAGCTCTAAGAAAAGTGGGAAAAGAATGAACTTTCAAAAGTAGTCATGGAGTTTGTAGAGTTACCTAAATTGATTAACAAGATTATTTTTAAGAAACATCTTTAAGTTTTCAGTTTTGTCTAATTATTAAAACTCTTCTTGTCCTATTTACATAAATCATTTTCCCATATTTTTCTTGCTTCTATTTTTTATTATTATGTATGCATTTTTGGGAATTATAGAAACTTAAATTAGATTCCAATTATCTTGTAATATTTCCATATATTATTGATAGGAATTCTTTTTCAGTGAGACCTCAGGTTCATAGTTCCTGAGTTGTGCCCCAACTAGGAAGCAGATGACGTGAACTGTCATCAGTGCAATACACACAGGCCCAGTGAAGGGCTCCACAAGAATAAGCCTGGAAAGAGAATACAAATGCAAATTTATTATTTAATTTCTCTACTTCATTCTTTCTCTTGACCTCTTTCCTATGCAAAGCTTCCTCACAGCCTGTTTTAATCCTCTCTAAATGAATAAAATAGTTTGTTATGACCTCTATTTGCAATCTCCAATTATCTCTCATCTTTTTACTCCACCCATGCATTCCTCTACGGAGCTCTCAATCTTCACTCTTCTAGTAAAACGTTTCTCTTTACTTTCACCTACTTCTCTTGCTTTGAGGGGTTTAGATTCTCTGAGGGTAACATTTATTCTCACCTGGCATCCGTTAATGTGGCAAATACCAGTTGCTGAAATATAGGAAACCATCCAGAAAGACAAGTTACCTCATAATCTCACTTCTATGTGGAATCTAATAAAGTCAAATGCATAGAAGCAGAGTGTAGAATGGTGGTTTGATTCCCAGGGACTGGAAGAGGAGGAATTTGAGGGTTATTAGTTAAAAGAAACAAAATTTCAATTAGGCAGGACAAATAAATTCAGGAGGTCTATTGTACAACATGGTAACCATAATTAATAACAATGCACTGCATACTTAAAAATCACTGAGAGTTCATTTTAAGTGTTCTCACCACAAAAATATGATAAGCATGTGAAGTGATGTATATATTAGTTTAATTTAGCCAGTCCATGATGTATATATACATATTCCAAAACATCGCATTGTATACCATAAATATATACAATTTTGTCAATTAAATTGTTTTATTAAAATAATTTTAACGTTTATTTTAGATTCAAGGGGTACATGTGCCAGTTTGTTACATGGGTGTATTGCATGATGCTGAGATTTGGAATATGAATGAGCCCATCACCCAGATAGTGAGCATGGTACCCAACAGTTAGTTTCTCAACCCTTGCCCAGCTCTCTCCCTCCCCGCTCTAGCAGGTCCCAGTGTCTGTTGTTCCCATCTTTGTGTCCATTATTACCCAATGTTTAGCTCCCAGTTATACATACATATATTTCATTGAATCCATAATAAGAGAGGTTGATCAATAATACTGTACCCTATAATCCCAGTACAATACACTACATTTTAGCGGAAATATGTTGGCAAATAAGACATATTTTGTAAGTTTTTATTTCATTATTTGTCTTCATTCTTTCTAACTTTTGATTCATAACTGAAGTAAGCTTTATCTACTGTAATCAACTAATTGTTCATTTAATGCAGTGTAACCAGCACCCTATTTTATGCATTACATAAATTAATAAGGTTATGTATATGTTTCAATGTTTGATGTATGTTTTAGCCAAAAATCTGTAATAAAAATCAACTCCTTGAAATAAGTCTTTTCTGAGCTCATGTTTCAGAAAATATGTTCAGAAATAGTATTTTATTTCTCTTCATTCTTTACTTATGAAACTAATGTCTAGAGAATTTAATATAAACACTTGGTCAATCAATGAAGAAACTTTTCTAATTATAGCATTTAAAAAAGAATTTTCTTCCAGTCCTATCATTTGCTGACTAAAATTATAATAATCAAAAATCAGAATTTTAAAAAATTAGAACTTTGCTGAAGTTGCTTATCAGCTTAAGGAGATTTTGGGCTGAGACAATGGGATTTTCTAGATATACAATCATGTAGTCTGCAAACAGGGACAATTTGACTTCCTCTTTTCCTAATTGAATACCCTTTATTTCCTTCTCCTGCCTGATTGCCCTGGCCAGAACTTCCAACACTATGTTGAATAGGAGTGGTGAGAGAGGGCATCCCTGTCTTGTGCCAGTTTTCAAAGGGAATGCTTCCAGTTTTTGCCCATTCAGTATGATATTGGCTGTGGGTTTGTCATAGATAGCTCTTATTATTTTGAGATACGTCCCATCAATACCTAATTTATTGAGAGTTTTTAGCATGAAGGTTGTTGAATTTTGTCAAAAGCCTTTTCTGCATCTATTGAGATAATCATGTGGTTTTTGTCTTTGGTTCTATTTATATGCTAGATTACATTTATTGATTTGCGTATATTGAACCAGCCTTGCATCCCAGGGATGAAGCCCACTTGATCATGGTGGATAAGCTTTTTGATGTGCTGCTGGATTCGGTTTGCCAGTATTTTATTGAGGATTTTTGCATCAATGTTCATCAAGGATATTGGTCTAAAATTCTCTTTTTTGGTTGTGTCTCTGCCCAGCTTACAAAATCAATGTGCAAAAATCATAAGCATTCTTATACACCAATAACAGACAAACAGAGAGCCACATCATGAGTGAACTCCCATTCACAATTGCTTCAAAGAGAATAAAATACTTAGGAATCCAACTTACAATGAACGTGAAGGAGTTCTTCAAGGAGAACTACAAACCACTACTCAATGAAATAAAAGAGGATACAAAGAAATGGAAGAGCATTCCATGCTCATGGGAATCAATATCATGAAAATGGCCATACTGCCCAAGGTAATTTATAGATTCAATGCCATCCCCATCAAGCTACCAATGACTTTCTTCACAGAATTGGAAAAAACTACTTTAAAGTTCATATGCAACCAAAAAAGAGCCCGCATCACCAAGTCAATCCTAAGCCAAAAGAACAAAGCTGGAGGCATCACGCTACCTGACTTCAGACTATACTACACGACTACAGTAACTAAAACAGCATGGTACTGGTACCAAAACAGAGAGATAGATCAATGGAACAGAACAGAGCCCTCAGAAATAACGCTGCATATCTACAACTATCTGATCTTTGACAAACCTGAGAAAAACAAGCAATGGGGAAAGGATTCCCTATTTAATAAATGGTGCTGGGAAAACTCGCTAGCCATATGTAGAAAGCTGAAACTGGATCCCTTCCTTACACCTTATACAAAAATTAATTCAGGATGGATTAAAGACTTAAACGTTAGACCTAAAACCATAAAAACCCTAGAAGAAAACCTAGGCATTACTATTCAGGACATAGGCATGGGCAAGGACTTCATGTCCAAAACACCAAAAGCAATGGCAACAAAAGGCAAAATTGACAAATGGGATCTAATTAAACTAAAGAGCTTCTGCACAGCAAAAGAAACTACCATCAGAGTGAACAGGCAACCTACAAAATGGGAGAAAATTTTTGCAACCTACTCATCTGACAAATGGCTAATATCCAGAATCTACAATGAACTCAAACAAATTTACAAGAAAAAAACAACCCCATCAAAAAGTGGGCAAAGGATATGAACAGACACCTCTCAAAAGAAGACATTTATGCAGCCAAAAGACACATGAAAGAATGCTCATCATCACTGGCCATCAGAGAAATGCAAATCAAAACCACAATGAGATACCATCTCACACCAGTTAGAATGGCAATCATTAAAAAGTCAGGAAACAACAGGTGCTGGAGAGGATGTGGAGAAATAGGAACACTTTTACACTGTTGGTGGGACTGTAAACTAGTTCAACCATTGTGGAAGTCAGTGTGGCGATTCCTCAGGGATCTAGAACTAGAAATACCATTTGACCCAGCCATCCCATTACTGGGTGTACACCCAAAGGACTATGAATCATGCTGCTATAAAGACACATGCACACGTATGTTTATTGCAGCACTATTCACAATAGCAAAGACTTGGAACCAACCCAAATGCCCAACAATGATAGACTGGATTAAGAAAATGTGGCACATATACACCATGGAATACTATGCAGCCATAAAAAATGATGAGTTCATGTCCTTTGTAGGGACATGGATGAAATTGGAAATCATCATTCTCAGCAAACTATTGCTAGGACAAAAAACGAAACACCGCATGTTCTCACTCATAGGTGGGAATTGAACAATGAGAACACATGGACACAGGAAGGGGAACATCACACTCTGGGGACTGTTGTGGGGTGGGGGGAGGGGGGAGGGATAGCATTAGGAGATATACCTAATTCTAAATGACGAGTTAATGGGTGCCGCACACCAGCACGGCACGTGTATACATATGTAACTAACCTGCATATTGTGCACATGTACCCTAAAACTTAAAGTATAATAATAATAAAAAAATTAAAACTTATTAAAGTGTCTGCCTTGTAAAAAATGGAAGGGGTCAACAAGCCTTTGATGTAGTTGTTGAGGAAATTATTACCGGTCATCAGTTGGATGGACAATGCTAACTCTGAGCTAAATATTGATAAAATTCTTTCGTAAGAGGCACTTTCTTTCTTGATATCTTGGATTTGGCAAACAGTTGCTGATAAGAGAAAATGGAATGAGAATGACAATGATTTTATGTCTGTTGCCCATCTCCCAAAGGCTGGAACTCTGACATATTCTAAAGGGAAATAATTCCACTGTTGAAATTGGTTTATTTAATCTGTTCCCCCCAATTATAAGAGACATCTTGGCACTCTTTAATATATGGAAATAGAGTATGAAAACTGAACTTTACTTAGTAATGAGTAATTTCCAACGCTGGAATACAATCAAGAGTCTCAATTATTAGTGAGAGGGCATTGAAAGAACATATTTACCCAATCAGTTATTGAGATGTTATAGAGAAGAGGCCATGTACCTAGAATTTTCCTAGGGACTGGTTATCTGACTCTTAGTAGATATAGATTGTCACTTTATATTTTCTCATAATCATAGAGTCATATTTTCTTCTGTAGAGTTGGACTGCCTAGTCTTATTTTCTTTGGTAAATTTAGACTAGTAAATGCATGATTCTACTGAGGGATATTAATCAACCCATAACAGATATGGAGATATGTAAAAGGTAATTTAACAAACTAGGCATTGGTTTACTTATATTTTGTTATAGGTAAACTGTCTAATAAAGTTGGAATTTAGGAAGTATTCAATAATAGAGAGACTTATGTGTACAAATTCTTTGAGACTGAGTGCCACACTAACACACATGAATTGTGGTGTCTAAAATAATCCCAGATCCAGTTGGTAAAAAAAGTTATAGGATAATGTGATAACAGTTTAAAGCAGTCATATATTAAATATATATCTATATGCACACATACACATGTATGTGGGTATTTCTAAAATTGTATCAGACAACCAAGACAAATATATTCGATATAATATTCATATGATTTGAATGTAAAATTATGCAAATGTGTAATAGAAATTCTGATCGTTCTGGGAAAATAATGATCAATGTGAAAATTCCACTTTGAAAGTCTCAAAATCTGCTGAAAAAATTCATGTGCAAGCACAATGATATTATAAAATATAATTAAAAATTAAAAACATAAACTGTATAAAAATATTTTCCCATTTTATGTTATTTTAATCATTCAAATAAAAATTTTTGAGAATATTTCAATATTCCAGTATATCCAATAAATATATAAAAATCTCAACTCTATTAATATAATAAAGACGGAGTCAGCTTTAATACAAGTATCTTTTCTGGTACAATAAAAAAATTCATTTCAGTAATGTATTATGAACCCTCAAAACATAGGCTAGTAAGTGACAAAATGCTACCATATATTTGAATATTTTATTCAGATAACAGACTGTAATTATGGTGGAAAATATAAATTAAAAAAATTAAACATGAAAAATAAGATAGCTGAGTCCAAAGCTGTCTAAATAAGGAATCAGAAAGTTCAGGTTAAAGTTTTATTTATTTATTTATTTTTTCCTTTAAGTTCTAGGATACATGTGCAGAATGTGCAGGTTTGTTACATAGGCATACATGTGCCATGGTGGTTTGCTGCACACATCAACCCGTGATCTACATTAGATATTTCTCCTAATGCTGTTCCTCCCCTTGCCCCACACTGCCCGAAAGGCCCCAGTGTGTGATGCTTTCCTCCCTGTGTCCATGTGTTCTCCTTATTCAAATCCCACTTATGAGTGAGAAAGTGCGGTGTTTGATTTTCTGTTCCTGTGTTAGTTTGCTGAGAATGATGGTTTCCAGCTTCATCCAAGTCCCTGAAAAGGACATGAACTCATTCTTTTTTATGGCTGCATAGTATCCATGGTATATATGTGCCACATTTTCTTTATCCAGTCTATCATTGATGGGCATTTGGGTTGGTCCCGAGTCTTTTCTATTGTGAATAGTGCTGCAATAAACATACATGTGCATATGTCTTTATAGTAGAATGATTTATAATCCTTTGGGTATATACCAGTAATGGGATTGCTGGATCAAATGGTATTTCTGGTTCTAGATCCTTGGGGAATTGCCACACTGTCTTCCACAATGGTGAACTGATTTACACTCCCACCAATAGTGTAAAAGTGTTCCTATTTTCAAGTGAAAATAATTTATATTCTGCTGCATTAGCCGGTGTGTTCTACAGATATCAGTGCTAAGAGTTTACTCTGTTACTTAAGTCTTATTATTGTTTATTTTCCACTGCTGACAAATACAAATTGTAAATATTTATGGTGTAAAACATGATGTTTAAAATAGTGAACATTGTAGAATGGCTAAACCAGTCTAATATGTGCATTACCTCACATAATTTTCACTTTTTATGGTATAAACACAAAATCTACTCTGTTCAAAATTTTGAAATATACATTGTTGTTAACTATAGTCACCATGTTAATAGATCTCTTAAGTTTATTTTTCCTGTCTAACTAAAATTTTATATCCTTTGACCAATATCTCTCCAACTCACTGGCAATTGCTATTCTACTTTTTGCTTCAGTGAGGTAAACTATATTTTATTCCACGTATAAATGAGAAAATCTTTTATTTCTTATTCTGTGCCTGGCTTATTTCACCTAACATAATGTTCTTCAGATTCATCCATGTTGTCATAAATGATGGGGTATCCTTCTCTTTTTTCTGGCTGAATAGTATCCCATTTTGTAAATATATATGTATATATGTATATTTGTATACATATATATGCACACATATATTTGTATATATACACATGTATATTTGTGCAATACACACATATACACATGTACACAAATGTATGTATGTGTATATACATTAATATATGTACACACACATTATTTATCCATTCATCTGTTAATGGAATCCTAGGTCTATTTCATTTCTTGGGTAAGGTGAATAATACTGGAATGTTCATTGGAGTGCGGATACAGCTTTGACATACTACTGATTCCATTTCCTTTAGATACATGCACAGCAGTGGGATTGCTAGATTACATGGTAGCTCTATTTTTACTTTTTTGAGGAAATTCTGTATTTTCTTCTATGATATATAACTAATTTACATTACTGCCAACAGTGAACAAGGGTTCCCTTTCTCCACCTCCTTGCTAACACTTTTTATCTTTCTTCTTTCTGATAATGGCCATTCTAATGGAGTGAGGTGACGTGTCATTGTGATATTAGTTTGTATTTCCCTGATGATTAATGATGTTTAGCATTTTTCTTACACCTGTTAGACACTTCTCCGTCTTCTTTTGAGAGATGACTATTTCCATCCTTTCCCATTTTTTAATCAGTATATCTATTTCCTGCTTTTGAGTTCAGTTCCTTATATATTTGGCATTTTAACACCTTATCAGAAGTATACTTTCCAAATATATGATTTCATATCATAGGTTATTATATATACACAGATGCTCCTTGCCTTATGATGGGATTATATCCTCTATAAATCCATCACAAATTGAAGATCTATAAAAATAAGATTAAAATTTCAAAAATTTAAAAATTTAATAAAAATAAAAATTGTGCTAAACTATTGCAAATATTATATAAGATTTGTATTACTATCTTTAAAATAAAGCCTAATTTTAAAAATTAAAGAAATTTTAAATATCAATTGTGCTTGTATATGTAATCTGGCTAAATCTGAACCATCTTACTCCCTCCACATTCAGAAGTTTCCACTCTGAATCTTAACACATCTTTCTTTAGCAGGAATTAATGAAAATGTATTCTAATTTTATGTAGAAGAATACACAAGAATATACAGGGAATGTATCCAAAATTGCAGCACTTTAAAAAGGAATTATTTTACCAGACAAATTATATTTTTTAAAAAATCAAATTATTAAAAGAAATTTTAAAAATTATTAGTAAAACAATATAAAACTCAAAAATTGATATTAGTATATATGTTGATTTATTATAGAAAAAATTATTCATCAGTTCACTGGACAAAGGCAGATTATAATTACTTAATACAGGAAAATTGTTGTCTATCTGAAGGGAAAAAGTATCTCATGTCACAAAATAACTGATCTTAAGTGGATTAAAAATGTAAGCTAAAAATGACATAAATTAAGTAACATTTAAGAGCTTGAAGAAAGTGGTTTGGAATCTATAAGACAGAAAGTGTTAATGTCTATGCTAGATGAGGATTCCTTAGAAATTGAAAGCAAAGTAAGTATAAACGCCATATGAAATAGAGACATAATCAACATTCAAAGGAGCATAAAATTCACAGAGAAATAAATCCAGTACACAGCAAATCAAAATTAAATACCAATGATAATGTTTATGTCTAGGAAGCTGTCAACAGTCAAAGACTCACTGTTACTAATTCTCACCTGAGAAGTGGCAAAAAGGGCCCAATACATACTTTTGGTATTTAAACAAAATGATGGGTTTTTATTTGGTTTCATTTTGTTTTGCTAAACAGGCTATTGACAACACAACTACCTGTTACCCTAGACCCACTAATCTCATTCCTGGGAATTTATCATACTGAAGCGAAAGCCACTGCATGTCACTATATATGAGGATGTTCATTACAGCTTCCTTCAAAGGACAACGGGATGACAAAGAAGTGTCCAAAAAATATAAAGATTGCACCTAAGAGGTATTTGAGGGACAGTCAGAACTTGTGGGCCCTTGTTGTAAATTGGAAATAATTTGGCTGAAAATAGAGACATGCATTACCTGGCTTAGGTTTTAAATATTGGTAGCTGGGGAAGTGTTCATTGAGTGTCAGATTCTACATTTGTGTTGAATTCCAAGCCACCAAGGTTTGCTGATGTGGTATGAGAAAGAGGAGAGACAGAGAGCAGTCAAGAATCTCATGTCCTGGAGGTGGGCAGGATTCCTGAGGAACTTTGTGTTATGAACATCTTGCCTCTTTCTATCCCTGGTGGGTGAAGGTAAATGGAAATGGGTCCCCAGAGACCTGCCTGCTTTGGAAGGCCACTCCCTCCCTCCAGGACCATCTGCTTTTAGAAGCTGATCACAACACATAGCCTTGTAAATCTCCAAATCTATATATGTAGCTCTGCATATTCACTTTTATACCCATTTATTACTCTCCCCAAGTGCTCAATATTGTCTCCCATGGCCTCTGTAACTTATGGTAATTGCATGTTTCCCATAGATCTTCAGTATCTTTGCTCCTCTGGAAACATGGTGCCTGCATGCTTCCCGGCAGCCCTCTCACGATGGTGATAGACACGCCCTGGAAGAAGGACTCACTGCCCAGCTGCAGTGAGGTCCTCAGACAGGTTGAGGCTGTCAGCATCTTCAGGGACTCTTTAAGGAAGGAGGTCATGTCCCTCAGGGACAGCCCACTGGTGAATGAGGGATTTAGAGGTGGAGGAATAACTGGGGTGGGCAAAGCTTGCTCCCCAGCCCTGATCAGGGTGAAGTATCCTGAATCCTCTTTCTGTGCAATCCTCCTTTCTTTCACTTTTCCCCACATTCCTAAAGTGCATTCAAATCACTTTCAGTGTCTGTGTCCAGAGAACTCCACCTGCCACATAGGTGGACACTGATTTCTCTTTTGTTCTCTTACATCACTCAGTCTGGAGCAGGGCAAGGTCCACCTTGCTGTTTCTCTACCAGCTCTAGATCACATTCTCCCCTTCCCCTAAAAGTTGACCAGTTGTTTTGAATTTTATTCCAAGGGGCTATACCACTCTCTGCTGCTTTTGTTGAAACATCTACCACTCTAAGATCCATCATCCTAGATGAACATGCCCAACTTGCCACAGCGTCCAGTTCTCATTATCCTAGACATAGTGAAAATGAGGAATGTTGTGCGCCTGGTTCAATGGATCTGTGAAGTAATGATATGTATCCTAATGTTAGTTTTAAGCTGATGTTATAAATGTGTGAATTTTTTTTGTTTTGTTTTGTTTTTGTTTTTTATTTTATTATTATTATACTTTAAGTCTTAGGGTACATGTGCACAATGTGCAGGTTAGTTACATATGTATACATGTGCCATGCTGGTGTGCTGCACCCATTAACTCGTCATTTAGCATTAGGTATATCTCCTAATGCTATCCCTCCCCCCTCCCCCCACCCCACAACAGTCCCCAGAGTGTGATGTTCCCCTTCCTGTGTCCAAGTGTTCTCATTGTTCAATTCCCACCTATGAGTGAGAATATGCGGTGTTTGGTTTTTTGTTCTTGCAATAGTTTGCTGAGAATGATGATTTCCAATTTCATCCATGTCCCTACAAAGGACATGAACTCATCATTTTTTATGGCTGCATAGTATTCCATGGTGTATATGTGCCACATTTTCTTAATCCAGTCTATCATTGTTGGACATTTGGGTTGGTTCCAAGTCTTTGCTATTGTGAATAGTGCCACAGTAAACATATGTGTGCATGTGTCTTCATAGCAGCATGATTTATAGTCCTTTGGGTATACACCCAGTAATGGGATGGCTGGGTCAAATGGTATTTCTAGTTCTAGATCCCTGAGGAATCGCCACACTGACTTCCACAATGGTTGAACTAGTTTACAGTCCCACCAACAGTGTAAAAGTGTTCCTATTTCTCCACATCCTCTCCAGCACCTGTTGTTTCCTGACTTTTTAATGATTGCCATTCTAACTGGTGTGAGATGGTATCTCATTGTGGTTTTGATTTGCATTTCTCTGATGGCCAGTGATGGTGAGCATTTTTTCATGTGTCTTTTGGCTGCATAAATGTCTTCTTTTGAGAAGTGTCTGTTCATGTCCTTCGCCCACTTTTTGATGGGGTTGTTTGTTTTTTTCTTGTAAATTTGTTTGAGTTCATTGTAGATTCTGGATATTAGCCATTTGTCAGATGAGTAGGTTGCGAAAATTTTCTCCCATTTTGTAGGTTGCCTGTTCACTCTGATGGTAGTTTCTTTTGCTGTGCAGAAGCTCTTTAGTTTAATTAGATCTCATTTGTCAATTTTGGCTTTTGTTGCCATTGCTTTTGGTGTTTTAGACATGAAGTCCTTGCCCATGCCTATGTCCTGAATGGTAATACCTAGGTTTTCTTCTAGGGTTTTTATGGTTTTAGGTCTAACGTTTAAATCTTTAATCCATCTTGAGTTAATTTTTGTATAAGGTGTAAGGAAAGGATCCAGTTTCAGCTTTCTACATATGGCTAGCGAGTTTTCCCAGCACCATTTGTTAAATAGGGAATCCTCTCCCCATTGCTTGTTTTTCTCAGGTTTGTCAAAGATCAGATAGGTGTAGATATGCAGCGTTATTTCTGAGGGCTCTGTTCTGTTCCATTGATCTATCTCTCTGTTTTGGTACCAGTACCATGCTGTTTTGGTTACTGTAGCCTTGTAGTATAGTTTAAAGTCAGGTAGCATGATGCCTCCAGCTTTGTTCTTTTGGCTTAGGATTGACTTGGCGATGCAGGCTCTTTTTTGGTTGCACATGAACTTTAAAGTAGTTTTTTCCAATTCTGTGAAGAAAGTCATTGGTAGCTTGATGGGGATGGCATTGAATCTATGAATTACCTTGGGCAGTATGGCCATTTTCACGATATTGATTCTTCCTACCCATGAGCATGGAATGTTCTTCCATTTCTTTGTATCCTCTTTTATTTCATTGAGCAGTGGTTTGTAGTTCTCCTTGAAGAGGTCCTTCACGTCCCTTGTAAGTTGGATTCCTAAGTATTTTATTCTCTTTGAAGCAATTGTGAGTGGGAGTTCACTCATGATTTGGCTCTCTGTTTGTCTGTTATTGGTGTATAAGAATGCTTGTGATTTTTGTACATTGATTTTGTATCCTGAGACTTTGCTGAAGTTGCTTATCAGCTTAAGGAGATTTTGGGCTGAGACAATGGGGTTTTCTAGATATACAATCATGTCATCTGCAAACAGGGACAATTTGACTTCCTCTTTTCGTAATTGAATACCCTTTATTTCCTTCTCCTGCCTAATTGCCCTGGCCAGAACTTCCAACACTATGTTGAATAGGAGTGGTGAGAGAGGGCATCCCTGTCTTGTGCCAGTTTTCAAAGGGAATGCTTCCAGTTTTTGCCCATTCAGTATGATATTGGCTGTGGGTTTGTCATAGATAGCTCTTATTGTTTTGAGATACGTCCCATCAATACCTAATTTATTGAGAGTTTTTAGCATGAAGGTTGTTGAATTTTGTCAAAGGCCTTTTCTGCATCTATTGAGATAATCATGTGGTTTTTGTCTTTGGTTCTGTTTATATCCTAGTTTACATTTATTGATTTGCGTATATTGAACCAGCCTTGCATCCCAGGGATGAAGCCCACTTGATCATGGTGGATATGCTTTTAAATTTTAATTCTATTATTTTAACATCATCTTATATTCATACTTTATACATCACTACATAAAAGTTTTTGAGATCTTGATTATAACATGTGTTGGCATAAATATGTTAGTATAAATTGTTGGTGTTTCCACTCTACTCCCAACCATTTTCTTTTTTTAAATTTAATTTTATTTTATTTATTTATTATTATTATACTTTAAGTTTTAGGGTACATGTGCACAATGTGCAGGTTAGTTACATATGTATACGTGTGCCATGTTGGTGTGCTACACCCACTAACTTGTCATCTAGCATTAGGTATATCTCTCAGTGCTATCCTTCCCCCCTCCCCCGACCTCACAACAGTCCCCAGAGTGTGATGTTCCCCTTCCTGTGTCCATGTGTTCTCATTGTTCAATTCCCACCTATGAGTGAGAATATGTGGTGTTTGGTGTTTTGTTCTTGCGATAGTTTACTGAGAGTGATGATTTCCAATTTCATCCATGTCCCTACAAAGGACATGAACTCATCATTTTTTATGGCTGCATAGTATTCCATGGTGTATATGTGCCACATTTTCTTAACCATTTTCATAGTTAAAATCTGAAAGGAGACTCTGTTGCTTTGAGAAAACCACTTTATTTTTCAGTGATGTCAATGAACAGGTATCCAGAGCTTATAAGAAGAAGTTTGTGTGCCTGAAATAAAAAAGAAATTTTCAATTTTATCTTTATCTTTTTAAATAAGTTATAAAGTTAGGATTGTCTGTTCAAATTTAGTTATTTTGTCACCTAATTTAGATCATGGATTGACAACATACACGTATAAGAAAATATAGTTGCAGAGGTAAACGGTAACTTAGATTTTCTCCAAATTATCATTCTTTATTTTTCTGATTTATTTAATTGCATAAACTACACATTCCTTATTGCATTCAAGCCAACGAAGCAGATTTTGTTTTACTTTTCTACTTTACAAAGACAAAAATAGAGGGAAGTTGTTCACTAGTATTGGTTTGACCTCATAGCAATCGAAATACATAGTCAGTTCCCAGTTTGTATAAGTAATTGAGATATTTAGAATCGGAGTAATGAAAGAACTCACACTGTTTTGATTATGCTCTGCTTATGGGATCATGGTGAAGAAAATCCCTCAGCCAGTACCCGGTGCTGCACTGCTCTGATTATATAGGACAAAGCTTAATGCACAAAAGTTATTCAGTTGCATTTAATCCTTGTTAGTTTGTTTTCTTTTGAGAAAATCATGTTTGAAGATCATCAGTTCATGTCACACAGAGCCTCCTATATAGAATCTTCATAAGTATATTCAGTATAAATAGTGGTGTCAACCATGGCAACAGGCCAGTAGTGAATTCTCAATGCAAATGAGTTAACTAATGGTTATCAACTTTTGCTGAAGACTCATTATTGGCACATGCATTAATGATGTAATCCTTGTAACAATCCTGTGAATGCCTATTTTAAAAGATTGGCAACACGTGGATATTGTCACTTGCTCTGTCAAAGTGAAGTCAGAACAGTGGTGACATTGCCTACAAAGCAAAAAACGCACTGAGTGTTGAAATTCCCTGTTTGGGAACTGGTTTAGCTGAGGTGATTAAGAATGAAGCAGCAAATGGTTTTGTCTTATACTAACTGCTCACTGGGTTTTATGGGCCATTGTGTCATAACTAAACATATTATTATGTTCACTTTTTACTCTGAAAGAGGCAATTTGTCATTTGTGTTAATTCATTATAATAAGAAGGGACTTGGTTAATAAATGTTTTTTAACATTCAAGAAGACATTTTCTGCTTTTCTTTGTGTCTTCTGGGAAAACGAAATCTGTGTCATTTTGACCTCAGTGTACATGTGTCCATCTATGTCAAATAAAAATAACATAAAAATATGTATTGAATTTGATGAATTAATGACATTATCTATTTGAAGCAATAAAAAATCACAAGGAAACAATTTCACAAATTTAATTCCATAATTATTAAAAGCTTGCATTAAATAAAAAATAATATCAGTATAATTAAAGAGAAAACTGGAGATGAAAAGTATTTACATGTAGTAGGTGTTAGTGTCTATAACTTTACAAAAGCACATTCAAGTTAAACACAAATGTTACGATGGAGTAGATAAATAAGCAAAATACATGAATAGATGATTGACTTAAAAGGTAAATTAGCACATTTCTCTGCATGCTGAACAAATAATAAATGGAAGCAATCCCTGTGTCACATTTTTATTGAAAAAAGCACCCCATGCAGTTAATATACAAATATAATTATAAAAATTGAATGGACTCAGTCTTTGTTGAAAACATACACATAGACATACACACACACACATAATTTTAAATATTTTCATAGACCTAATATATTATGAAATATTTGAAGACATAATTATGTGCTCCAAAGACTTGCCTGAGAAAAATACCATTGTCAGTACACAGCTCTACATTTCACAAAGAGTAATTTAAGAAACTGGAAATTTGTAGTACAGATGCTGCAGAGAAAAATAATTCACATATTCTTCCAAGTTTATTTCACTTAATAGATTACATGATAGAAGAAAAAATATCTATTAGTAGAAGAAAGATTGAGCAATGTATGAGATAACTAGAAGGAAGTCCATCTAGCAGAAAATCTAATACTGGGCTTCCAAATACCATAATAAAGACTAAGGGGAAACCTCAAAATAACTATAATTAAAATGAATATCTAAAATAGTCAAAGCCTATATATAATATATATATATATTTAAATATGTATTTAAATATACACATTTAAAATGTATACATGGGAACCTTTTAAAACTATTTATATACTGATTTGTTTTGTAACTAGAGCATTAGGAAAGCCATGTTAGGGTTAATAAAACATCAATACAAATTAATAATTATTTTGACATCTGCCTTCAATGACAGTTCCTTTATTTCTTTGAGTGCTGATATCTTTCTCTGGCAAAATTCAATTAATATGCATTTTCTATTTGACCTTTTACCAAAAATGCAAAATGACCATATAGAAGAAAAGAAAACGTCCCATTCAAATTAATTTTTGAGTAAGACCACTTTTTTCATTTTATTCTTCTCAGTGACATTTAAATAGTCAAGTCAATACAAGGAATAAATATGGATAATTTGTCAAAGAATTCTATAAGACTTTTTTGTTCAGATTGATTAGGTCATAAGAGAGTAGAGGTTTGGGTTTTGTATTACTGCTGCTGCTTCTTCAATAAGAGTTTTTAAGTGAGATAGTAAGTTCTAAACAAACATTCTTTCTTACATCATATTAAAGATAACTAGAAATCAGCTTATGTACACCACCCAAGAAGGGGTTTGGGAAATGGCTCCATATTGTAAAAATTCAGAATTTTACTTAAGAATAGAAAAATGTAATTAATTGCCCAAGGAAATTTTCTAATAAAATAATTGCTTTCATTTGTCTTTTTAAATTTTTACTTTTAAGAATTAGAGATAAAAATGAAGAATTAATGTGTGTACATTATAAATGGTATCTATTATTGAAAGAAGAAAAGCAACAGCTTTTACTTTTTGGTGAGCTTTCCCTTTATCAACATCCCCAGAGCCACCTTTATGGCCTTGTTTCTCAAACTGTATATAATGGGATTAAAGGTTGGGGGCAGCATAGTGTAGAACACAGAAATTACAGCATCCAAAATAGAAGGAGACTCTGAAGCTGGCTTCAGATAAGCAATGAATCCAGTGGAAAGAAATAACACAACCAGCAAGTGTGGAAGGCAAATAGAGTAGGCTTTTGACTGGCCTTCTGTGGAAGGGATCTTCTTGACTGTAGAGAAGACGTGGACATAGGTAATGATGATGACAATAAAACAGCAGAAATCCAAAACTACATTAATAAGGATGAGTGCAATTTCTCTTATTAAATTTTCTGAGCAAGAAATAGCTAATAACTGGGGAATGTCACAGAAGAACTGATGGACCATGTTGGACCCACAGTAGGATAAGGAGAAGGTGCCAGCTGTGTGCATCACAGCAATCAGACCCCCATACAGCCAAGACACAGTGGCTCTTTGGACACAGGTGCTCCTGTCCATGATGACATCATAGTGCAGAGGGTGACATATAGCAGTATAGCGGTCAAAGGACATCACCGTGAGGAGGAGCAGCTCTGCAGATGCTGAAGAAAGCAACAAAAAGACCTGGGAAACACAGCCAAGGAATGAAATGGAGTTGTTGTGTATCAAAGAATTGGCGATAGATTTGGGAGCCGTGACTGAAATAAGGCAGAGATCCAAGAAAGATAGATTCTTCAAGAAGAAATACACGGGGGTGTGGAGATGATGGTCCAAAGTTGTGATCATGATAATGAGGACATTCCCCATCAGGGCACACAAATAAATCAACAAGAAGAGAATCGAATGCAAAATGCACATATTTTTATTGGTAGAAAACCCCATAAGGATAAATTCAGTCACGATTGTGAGATTTGCCATTATTGCAGGAGTAATCTGCAGGAAAAGGAGAAGACTGAAGTAAAATATCAATGTCCACTCTTTAAATATTAAATATATATAACACATATATTATTTAGCATACTGAAACACACACACGTACCACACGTATGGTAATTCCATGCCAATTTGCCACAAAAAATACTTTCATCTAGTTCTTTTTTAGTGCATTGATCACCAAGCATTTCCTGATTAATTTCATGTTATTGAGGCAATTTAGTTCACATAAATGCAGTTATAATATTATCCAAATATATCTTATGAAATATACTGAAAGATTAAAAATTTTCTACGGATGTTATCAAAACTTAAAAACAAAGTTTTCCTGCCCATCTCTCTTGAAAACTCAAACCAACAAACCAATGGCTACTACATTGTACCATAGTCTTGCTCTTCCTACATCTTGTCCCATGACTAACAGGACCTCAGTTTCAACACACCTTCCAAGAATTTGAACAATTAACAATTCTAAAAACAAAACTTAACTATTACAGACCTCCCTCAAGCTATTCTACAAAGTCTTTAACCTACTTACTCTCTAAAAAACTTTGTTTGCAGGTATTCTCACATTTGAAATTTTAATAAGAGATTGAACTAATGGTGCTTTTTTAACACCATAATTTGCAATCTTGTGCCTATAGTTTCATAGGACACACACATGGTTACTGTAGGCAACAGATCCTATAATATATGAGCTGGCCGGGTGCGGTGGCTCACGCCTGTAATCCCAGCACTTTGAGAGGCCCAGGCAGGTGGATCGCCTGACGTCAGGAGTTCAAGACCAGCCAGGACAACATGGCGAGACCCCATCTCTGCTAAAAATACAAAAAATTAGCTGGGTGTGGTGGCGGGCACCTATAATCCCTGCTACTTGGGAGGCTGAGGCAGGGTGAATCACTTGAACCTGGGAGGCGGAGGCTGCAGTGAGCCGAGATCACACTATTGAACTCCTGCCTGGGCAACAGAGCGAGGCTCTGTCTCAAAACAAACAAATAAATAAATATTTTGTTAGCCTTATATTAACTGAATTACTCACTTTTCTTTTTTAATCCCCCATCTGCCACTTTGACTTTTTTCTCATATTTAATAAGTTAAACTATGTTTTCTCTTTCAAGCTTTTTTCTCTTTCATCATAGCCAAGTTGTACAACGACAATGCGTGACCTTGCATATCACAATCTTAATGTTTTTATGTCCACTGCTTTCTCTGTTCCCCTCTATCCCTTCCAAAAAAGTATTGCAAATTATGGGGCAGGGGAGAAGGATCGCCACATAATTTGAACAAAATTCAGATGGTCTTACTCTGATGGAAAACTGTGGTTATTCATTCGTATTGCAGTGACATGTGGGGGCTTTCTAATTCTACAGATTGTATACATTGACCTTAATGTAAATTTAGTAAAATATTAAAACTGTACTTGACAATTTTCCTCCTGCACTCTCTTCTTTGGTTCTTTCTTTTAAATATTGTGCCTGTTCTCTCTCAGGAGTGATAGATAAAGAAAAATCACAGTGTAAATGTTGTTTGCTGAATTTAGGAGAGAAGTGATATAAACTAATTTTAATCTGTTAGAAAAAAAACCCAGACATTTGAATGAACAGTTAAAAATAAATGTTAGGATTTATTCCAGAAAAAGAAGTAAAAATATTTTGAGTGGTTTTTAAAAAATCATTTTAATGATGTTCGATTTGATTAATCTCTGTGGCTGTTCTTGTTAAAATATTGTGACTTCATCTTACAGCATCACTAATAGTCCCCGAGTGGTTGAGTAAAAAAGCATATGATTACTAAGACAGATGTCCATACGTGTCTCTTTCTTCTAGTATGAGGGAAACAAAATGGTAAGGGAAAATTGACTCAAAGACAGTGGTATTGATGATTCTGTCTGACTGAGCTTTCTTCATAATCGTTTAGAAGCTGGAAAGTATAGCATGCCTTTTTAAGAAGTACTTCACATTTTTTTTTTAAGATTAGTCTTAAGTTTCTTGTTTCATTTATTTCTAGTTACCTCTCATTAATTTTGTGATTTCATTTAACATTTAATACACTTTCAGCTTAGTGTGGTAAATCCAAAAATATATCACTAAGAGTTACAACATCTGATATTCATAATACATACTCCTCAACGAAGATACTATAATGTGCCAAAAGTATTAAAAATTATAATCCTATTGTGGAATACTTAAAATTAAAAAGATAAAAAGTAGTATTTTATCCCATTTCTGTGTGTGAAGTTCACTCACAGGAAAAGCTAATACTGCTACTTTGAATAATTTGAGCATCAGAGAAAAAATATATCTTTAGGTTTTATTAGTTTCTATTATTTGTAAAATAAGAATTTTAATTGTTCCCAAATCCAGACAAATTTTAACCCCAAAATTTTTAAAATATGAAATGTGATTTTTATCATCAGAGAAATGCAAGTAAAAACTATAATGATATAATGATCTTACCCCAATTAAAATGGATTTTATCCAAAAGACAGGCAATAACAAATGCTGGGGAGGATGTAGAGAAAAGGGAATTGTACACTGTTGGAGGGAATGTAAATTAGAACAGCCACTATGGACAACAGTATGGAGGTGCCTCCATAAACTAAAAATAAAACTACCATATGATCCAGCAATCCCATTGCTAGGTATATAACTGAATGAAAGGAAATCAGTATATCAGAGAGGTATTTGCACTTGCATTTTTATTCACTGTTCAGAATAGCTAACAGATGAGTAGATTTTAAAAATGTTGTGCATATGCACAATGGAGTATTATTTACCCACAAAAACAAATGAAATCCTGTCATTTGCAACAACATGGATAGAACTAGAGGGCATTATGTTAAGTAAAATAAGCCAGGCTCAGAAGGACAAATTTTGCATGTTCTCACTCTAATTGGGAGCTAAAAATCAAAGCAATTGAATTCATGAAGATAGAGAGTAGAATGGTGTTTCCCAGAGACTGAGAGGGTAGTAAGGAGTTTGGAGGAAAGTAGCAATAGTTAATGGGTGCAAAAATATCATTTAAAATGTGAATAAGATTTAGTATTTGATACACAACGAGGTGACTACAATCAACAGTAATTTATTGTATAATTAAAAATAAGAGAATGGAATTGGAATGTTCCTAACACAAATTATAAATGCTTGAGGTGATGAATGCCCCAATTACCCTAATATAATTTTTACACATCTTATATCTGAATCAAAACATCACAGGTACCCCATAAATATACACATCTCTATGTACCCACAAAAGTTAAAAATAAAAAATTTTTAAAAATAAAAAATATAATGAGTTTTCTTTTAAAAAATGACTTACTCTATACCTCCAATCTGGCGCACGAAGATTCCAGATGTCTTCTGAGGCTTGTTTTCAATGCTTCTTTATTCATTTATAGAGTGCTTACTAAAGGCCAGATCTTTCTGTTGGCAAACTTCAGTGAAAACAATGCAGTGAGTCAAATTCCAAAGGTGTGTGGGAAGTCACTTTCTCAAAACACCAGCTTCTCCATGTTGTGCTTAGAGAGAGGGTGTGTGAGGAGCAGAGGAAAGAGCTATCCCAGGAGATTGCGATGCGAGTAATATCATGAAGAACACAGGTGGGGGTATAACAGGTGAGGTTCAGAGTTTAGCACAGCCCCAGGGGAGCAGATTTAAAAAAAAAAGACTAGGAGATGTGTTACAGAAAAAATGGAGAGCAGGATCAGGCAGACACTGCAGGTCATGGGAAGTAGTTTGTTTACTGTGAGTGAGAGAAAAATCTGGATGGTTTTGAGTAGAGGAGTAGAATGATCCGACTTGAACTTTTTGTCTTATTATCTATTTATTTTATTGTATATATTTAAAGTGTATAATATGTTTTGATATGAATGTAGATAGTGAAATAATAATACAGTCAGGCAATCTAACATATCCATCACCTCACATAATTGCCTTTTGTGTGTATTTAGTAAGAACACCTAAAATCTGCTCTCAGCAATTTTTTAGTTTACGATAAAATATTATTTGTTATGGTCCTCATGCTGTGCATAAAATGCCCTGTTGAATAAAAGTATTGAGAGTGTCCATCCTTGTCTTGTTCCTGATCTTAGAGGAAATGTTTAAACTTTTCATTCTTGCAAATGATGTTAGCAGTGGGCTTGTGATTTATGGCTTTATGATTCTGTACCTAATTTGTTTAGAATTTTCATTATGAAAGGAATTGTATTAAATGCCTTTTCAGAATCTATTGAAATATTCTATGGTTTGGTCCTTCATTCTGTTAATGTAGTAGATCACAGTTATTGATTTGCATATTCTAAACCCACTTGCATCTGAAGGAAAAATCCAGATTTATTATGATGAATGATCTTTTTAATGTGCTGTTGAATTTGATTTGCTAGTATTTCATTGAAGATTTTTGCATCTGTGTTTATCTGGAACACGGGCCTGTAATTTTTCTTTTCTTGCAGTATCCTTGTCAGGATTCAGTATCAGAGTAATACTGGCCTCATAACATGATTTTAGAAGTGTTCCTTCATCTTCAATATTTTTGAAATGTGTAAGGGAGAACTGGCATTAGTTATTCTTTAAAGATTTGATAGAATTTACCCATGAAGCCACCAGTGACTGGGTGTTTTTGTTGTTGCTGTTATTGTTTATGATTTTTAAAAAGGGGACTTAGTTTTGTTGCTATTTTCTATTGTCTTTCTGGACTTCATTTTTATTTTTCTCTGCTTTTTTCTTTGTTATTTCCTTTCTCCTACTAATTTTTGGCTTAGTTTGCTCTTTTTTCTCTAGGTTCTTGAGCATAATGTTAGGTTTTATTAAGATCTTTCTTGGGCCCGGCACGGTCGTGCACACCTGTAATCCCAGCACTTTGGGAGGCCGAGGTGTGTGGATCACTTGAGGTCAGGAGTTCGAGTCCAGCCTGACTAATATGGTGAAACCCCATCTCTACTAAATACAAAAAAAAACCCCAAAAACAATTACCCAAGCGTGGTGGTGCATGCCCGTAATCCCAGCTACTGGGGAGGCTGAGGCAGGAGAATCACTTGAACTTGGGAGGCGGAGGTTGCAGTGAGCCAAGATAGTGCCATTGCACTTCAGCCTAAGCAACAAGAGTAAAGCACCGTCTCAAAAAAAAAAAAAAAAATCTTTATTTTTCATGTAGGCATTGGTGCTGTAAATTTTCTTATTAGAACTGCATGACTGCATCTCATAAGTGTCAATATGTTGTGTTTTCATGCTTGTTTGAATCAACATGTTTTTTCATTTCCTTTTTAATTTCTTCTTTGAACCATTAGTTGTTTATAAGCATGTTAATTTCAACATATTTGTGAAGTTTTCTGAAATTCCACTATTATTGTTATCTAGTTTCATACCATGTAGTCAGAAAAGATACTTGATATGATTTCATTCATCTTAAACTTGTTAAAAATCACATTGTGGCCTAACATTTGGTCTATGCTGAATAATGTTTTATGTGCACTTGAGAGGAACATATCTTCTGCTGCTATTGGATGGAATGTTTGGGATGTGTCTGTTAGGTCCATCTGGTCTAAAGTGTAGTTCAAGTCCAATCCTTGTTGATTGACTGCTGGATGATTACTAATACATCAGTTCATAGTTGAATGTGGAGTATTGAAATCCCCTACTATTACTTTATCACTATCTCTCTTTTCAGATAAAGTATTTGCTTTATATATTTGGTATGCTGATGTTACATTCATATATATTTGCAATTGTTATATCTTCTTGATTGATTAACCCCTTTATCACTATATAATAACTTTCTTTGTCTATTTTTACAGTTTTGACTTAAAGTCTATCTTATGTAAGTATAGCTACCTCTGCTCTGTTTGATACCCATTTGGATGGAATATCCTGTCATCCTTATACTTTCAATCTACATGTGTCCTTTATGATGATGTGACTCACTTGAAGGCAAGGTATATTATCTATGCACCCACTTTATGTCTTTTGATTGGAACATTTAATTCATTTGCAGTTGATAAACTGGGTAGTACTTACTGCTGCCATTTTGTTAAATATTTTCTGGAGTTCTTTTGTGTGTTTTTAAAATAGATTCTTTGTTCCTTTCTTCACCTTTTGCTGTCTTCCTTTGTGATTAGATTTTCTCTAGTGGTGTGCCTTGATTCCTTACTTTTTATCCTTTTTGTGTCTACTATAGGTTTTGGCTTTTTTGGTTAGTATGATAATAACTTAAAATGTTTTATACTTATAACAGGCTATTTTAAGGTGTTAACAATTTAACTTTATCCACATTAAATTTAAAAACTCTATTACTCCTCTCATTTTAAGTCTCTTATATCACAATTTATGTTTTTTATGTTGTAAACAAATTTGTTGCTATTATTATCTTAATAGTTTTGTATTTTCCATACTGTGGTAGTTAATTTTAGGTGTCAAACTTGACTGGATTAACAGAGGCTTAGGTGGCTGGTGAAGCTTTGTTTCTGGATGTGTCTGTGAGGGTGTTTCCAGAGGAGATTAACATGTGAGTCCATGTACTGAGAGAGGAAGGCCTGCCCTTAATGCCCTTAATGGGGCTGGGGTGTGTGTGTGTGGCGGGGGGGGAGGGTGGGGATGCTGGCGAAAACTAACAGTAGGCAGAAGGGGGATTTTTTTTCTCTCTTTCTGTTATCTCTGTCTTCAGGAGTGAGATGCCTCTCCTCCTCTGGCCCTCAGACATCAGACTCCAGATTCTTCAGCTTTTGGACTCTGGGACTTGCACCAAGGGCTCTTGGGCTTTTGGCCTTGGACTTAGGGCTGCACCATCAGTTTCCCTGGTTCTGAGGCTTTCAAACTGAATCATAATACCAGATTCTCTGATCATCCAACTCGCACTTGGCCTTTCTGGGACCTCTCTGCCTCTGTGATTATGTGAGCCAATTCCCCTGAATAAATCCCCTCTCATATATCCTATTGGTTATGCTTATCTGAAAACTCTAATATAGGTTTAAAATTACTAATACATCTTTCAAATTACAGATTTCACACAACATCTAATAATCTGACTAGGCTCTCAGTTCATAATTAAGAGTGAGGAAGCTTATTGGGTATTCTAGGAGCAAAGACTGAACTTATCAATAGCTGAACTTCATCAAGAAAAGATGCAGAGGTTTTGAGGGATCTCAAACACAAATTTTTTCCAGAATTCAGTTTCCCCAGAAGGGAAGCATATAAAATATTTGGCCAGCTGAATGTAAGACTGTCACTTGAATTTTGTAAAATAAAATTAAGGGTTTCAAAATATATAATGTCTGTATTCTCTAAAGGACCCTATTGATTTGTATTCCTTATTCCCACTACCCTTTGTGGGGTGCCTGATATCTCTGAGGCTTATCTCTGCTTCAACTTCTGCAGAACCTACATTCCACTACTTTTACCAGGAGTTGGAGTAATTTCTTAACTTTTGAGGTGAAGATCTAGAGTTGTGTCATAATATTAAAATAAAATAAGCCAGGCACACAGTGGCTCATGCCTGTAATCCCAATGTTTTGGGAGGCAAAGGTGGAAGGATCACTTGAGGCCATGAGTTTGAGACAAACCTGAGCAACCTGGAGAGACCCCCATTTCTACAAAATAAAAAAATAAAAACATTATCTGGTTATGGTGCTGCACACCTGTAATCCTTGCTACTCAGGAGGCTGAGGTGGGAGGATCCTTTGAGCCCAGGAGGTTGAGGCTGCACTCACTGAGCCATGATCATGACACTACACTCCAGCCTGGGTGACAGAGCAAGACCCTGCCTCTAAAATATTATGACAAAAGATGATAAAATAAAATAGTTACCCCAACATCTAGCATGACAATTAAATAATACCGTAAGTGCTGCAGTAGGTCTTCAAGCATGCATACAGAAAATAAATATAATATGGGAAAAAATGTTTTTAGGCAGTGGACATCAGAGCACAAAACTGTCAATTCTGAATGAATATTAGTGGAAAAATACTATGCAACTATTTTTTACTGGGAAGGATACGATAAATATGTATTTCCTATTTGGAAGCATCCAGAATTGGAGGAGACACCCACTCAAAAGTTAAGCACCAATCCAAAATTCGAATTTAAAGTTATTAATATCATAAAATTGAATTGAATTTAAAGCAAAAATATAAAAATAAATAAAATAATATTCATATTGTTCTAAGTATCAGTATATCATCCAGATAAGCTGTAAAATTTAATACCGTTCCAACAATACCTTTACAATTGAAGTGGTGTCACTGTCTGGGGTAAATATCCAGGATTCACTGTCTCCCACAAAGAAGATTTAGGACACGGACACACACCAGGAGTTCAGGAGCAGAGGTTTAATAGGCAAAGGAAAGAGAAAAGAAAATAGAGCTCTCTCTAGTAAGAAACAGGGCCTTCCGAAAGGAGGGACCAGCCAGCATCAGAGTTCACTGGATTTTATAGGCAGGCTTGGGGAAGTGGTGTCTGATTTACATAGGGCCCACAGGTGTGACATTTGCATAATGCCGGGGGGAAGGCTGGCTACGTCACCTTAATCTTGTTATGCAAATGGACTTTACACTTGACCAGGGCGTCTTGTTTGCTTTTTACTGTACACATGGCTGGCAAACAGAAGCAAAGATGGAGCCACCATTTTGAACGTGCCTGGTCCCAGGTAGCTTTCTCCCATCTGCATTCACCTGTACAAGCTTCCAGCTTGCTTGTCTATGTCTGCAGCTCAATTTTATAGGCTGCTCTTTGTTAGAAAATGATTTCAGGGCTGCTTTACATTAAAAAGAGAAACTTTATCAAGGACTCCCATACCCTGCTTATGTAGTTTCTTATCTCCTATATCATAATTATGTCATCATTAAAATCTGTATCTATTCTATATCTGTATCTTTGTCTATGTCTAAATCTACATATTTAAAATTCAGTACAACAATCTCACATTGCATTTAACTGTCATGTCCTTTTATTCTCCATTAATCTGGAGTAGTTTATCAATCTCTGTGTGTTCATGAGTTTGACATTCTGAAGAATGAAGGTCAGGTACTTTGTAGAATGTCCCTCGATTTAAAATTTTCTGTGACTTCCTCAAAATTAGAATCAGATTGTTATAAGAAGGCAAGGATGTCAATTTGTTCCATTACTGTCGGTGCTAACTTTAATCACTTGGTTAAGATGGTGTCTGCCAGATTTCTCCACTTCGAAGTCATGCTTTTTCCCTTTGTAATGAACAAGAATTTTATGTGCATATACCTTGAGTCTAGGCTTCAGATGGAATTGTTTTCACATGGCATATACTTTTCTAAAATTCTGAGCAATATGCTTGGCAATTATTTTCTAGATCTCTTATAAAGTCCATTAGTAATCCCTTCATATTTGCATATCTCTTTATGTAGTTGTCCCTTTGAATTTGATATTTGTAATTTTAAATATTTCAACTTTATATAACTGACTTCAATTCTTAACCAAGATGTCTGACCATGCTTCCATGCCTGATTGCCACTTATAGCTTCCTAATTTTACTGAGTCTCTAATTACATGCTTTACACTTTTACATGTAAATATCTCTACCATATTTGAACATTGGCCATTTAGATACTTGTGTAACTTGGAATCAAATTTATGATCTTTTTTTTTAAATGAAACTCAGACATGGTAGTCCGCCTCTTTGAGTGTGCAGTGATCTTTGAATGTAAATATAGATATTTACAAAGCTGGTTATTTATAAAGTTACTGCTAGTGACATTAGAACACCTCAGCCATCTTTACGGCTGAAATGGTGCAGTAAAGGAGTAAAGCAAAAAGGAGAAAGAGATCGGGGGAAGTGCTGGCGGGCGGAAGTGCTGGCCGGCGGAAGTGCTGGCGGGCGGAAGTGCTGGCGGGCGGAAGTGCTGGCGGGCAGAGATGAAAGCTTCAATCAGATTATGCAACCAACCTGAGAGACTTTCACAAAAACAGAACCGAAGATTAAATTCCCTAAACAGAACTTAATTCTATCTGCTCTGCAAATTCTCCTCATTGGCCTGATCTAACCAGAAGCCAAGGACAGTGACTTTGCTGATACAGTCCAGAAAACTTAGACTACAGGCCACAGTGCAGGCTGGAGGAGAGTTAACAATGGATCCAGTTGGGCATATATATATATATATATATATATATATATGTGTGTGTGTGTGTATATATGTGTGTATATATATGTGTGTATATATATGTGTGTATATATATGTGTATATATATGTGTGTGTATATATATACACACACATATATATACACACACATATATATACACACACACATTATATATACACACACACACACACATTCTACACACAATCTGTAGATTATTTGTTATCTATCCGGTCAGGATAAATTGTTCTTCAATTCATACCTTTCACAATTTTGAAAAAATATCAGCCATTACCCCTAAGACATTATCTCTCATCCTTCTTTTTGATTCTTATTTTCTTTTTCGTTTCTTATATTCCTAACTTATTCCTGACTTCTTGTGTATGTGTGTGTTTGTGAAATTTCATTTTTCTATTCTCTGTTAAATGTTCTGGAAAATTATCTCAATGTAATAATTTTTTATTAAAATTTATAGGAATTTCATTTTAAACAATAATCTGCTTCCACATTTGAAGTTCTACTTGGCTCTTTCTCCAAATCTGTGTGGTCAATAATTATTCTCATACTTTATTTCTTAAACTTTTTTATTCTTTCAAGTTAATTTTTAAATATATGGTGCATGTTTCTTTATATTTTCAGTTCAACAATTGCAACGTATGGACTTCTTCCAAATTGAGAACTTTGAAACAAATCTTAAAAAATTAGAAAAGTGTTCACATATTTTATAGTTCACAACTATAATTATGTGAATAAGAAACTCTTTGAGGTCCATTATATAAAGAGATAAGAATATAAAATAATTTACTAACTCAAAGTGAGATAAAATGCATAATCATGAGTAATTGTGACTAAATGAATTTGAATACATACAGTCTTGAGACATGATTTAACTTTTTTTTTTTTTTTTTTTTTTGAGACAGAGTCTCGCTCTGTCGGCAGGCTGGAGTGCAGTGGCGTGATTTCAGCTCACTGCAACCTCTGCCTCCCGGGTTCAAGTGATCATCCTGCCTCTGCCTCCCGAGTACCTGGGACTACAGGCACACGCCATCACACCCAGCTAATTTTTTTGTACTTTTAGTAGAGACAGGGTTTCAACACATTGGCCAGGGTGGTGTCGATCTCCTGACCTCGTGATCCGCCCACCTCAGTCTCCCAAAGTGCTGGTATTACAGATGTGAGCCACCGCGCCTGGCCGATTTAACATTTTAACTTACTAAAAGATTTTTATTACATTATTCAAAGTCAACAAAAAGTTAGCAATGATACTGTCTTAAGAACTACTTTTAAATAGTCTAATTAATTTCCTAACTAAAATAATTGATTTTTATTACGTTTCAGTATTTTTGTAGGTAATAAAGTTATTACAGTAATGTGCATTAATATTAATAAATCAAAATGTTAAAGCCAAAAAATAAAAATTTTAATCATTTGAAAGTAAAATTTACAATATGGGCAGATGGCAACACAATAAATCCAAAAAATCAAGATTTTATTTTATTTTTTAACAATTCATAAATGGGATCCAAATACACATGGTAGCACTCATTAAAACCAGTATTTGGCTAAAGTCAAGGTTACAACTGAATATCATCATCATAGCATAAACTGCTTGAAAATTAATTTAGGCCTGGAAGTGTGCAGGCACGAAGATGCAAAAGGTGTTTTTGATCACCGGGGCAAGCAGTGGCATTGGCCTGGCCCTCTGAAAGCGGCTGCTGGTGGAAGATGATGAGCTTCATCTGTTTGACGTGCAGGAACATGAAGTAAGACAGAAGCTGTCCATGCTGCTCCGCTGGCCTCTCACCCCACCACCATGTCAGCTACCTGCAGTCAGTTTTCTGGGCCTCCAAGTGACTTAAGCAAAGGTTTCAGAAATTAGACTATATATAAGTCAAAATGCTGGGATCATGCCCAGTCCACAGCTAAATGTCAAAACACTTCTTTGGCCTCTTTTGAAGAAAAGTGATTCATATGTTCTCCATAGCTGAAGGCCTGCTGACCCAGGATGATAAGATTACTGCTAATGGACTTCAGGAGGTGTTTAAGAACAATGTCTTTGGCCGTTTTATCCTGATTCAGGAACTGGAGCCTCTCTTCACCATGGTGACAATCCATCTCAACTTACCTGGACATCGTCTCGCAATGCAAGGAAATCTAATTTCAGCATCAAAGATGCCGACAAGCATCTTTGCCAAGCCAAGCAAAGGCAAGGAACCCTACAGCTCTTCCAGATATGCCACTGACCTTCTGAGTGTGGCTTTGAACAGGAACTTCAACCTGCAGGGTATCTATTCCAATGTAGTATGTCCAGGTAGAGCATTCACCAGTTTGACATATAGATTTCTGGCTCCCTTTGTTGGACACTGTTGATGCCACTAATATGGCTGCTTCGCTTTTTTGCAGATGCATTCACTTTGACACCATACAATGGAATAGAATCACTGGTATGGCTTTTCCACCAAAAGCTCGAATCTCTCAATCCTCTGATCAAATATCTGAGTGCCACCACTGGCTTTGGAAGAAATTACATAATGACCCAGAAGATGGATCTAGATAAAGACATTGCTGAAAAATTTTCTCAAAAGTTACTGGAACTGGAAAAGCGTGTTAGGGTCACTATTCAAAAAACAGATAACCAGGCTGGGCACTGTGGCTCATGTCTGTAGTCTCAGCACTTTGGGAGGCCAAGGCGTGAGGATCACGTGAGACCAGGAGTTCGAGACCAGCCTGGGAAACATAGTGATACCCTATCTCTACAAAAAGAAATACAAAAATTAGCTGGGCATGGTGGTATGCGCCTGTAGTCCCAATTACTCAGGAGGATGAGGTGAGAGGATTGCCTAAGGCTGGGAGGCGAAGGTTGCAGTGAGCTGAGATTGTTCCACTGCACTCCAGCCTGGGTGACAGTGTAAATATAGACACATCAATCAATGGAACAGTTTAGAGAGCCTAGAAATAAGTGGAGCCCATGCACCCATAGTCAAGTAGTTTTTGACGAAGGTGCCAAAAATATACAATAGGAAAAGGACAGTCAATAAAAGGTGTTGGGAATACTGGATATCCATATGCAAAAGCATAAAATTAGACCTTATCTCATACTATATACAAAAGTCAACTCAGAATGAATTAAAGACTTGACATAAGGCTTGAAGCTGTAAAACTACTAAGAAAATGTAGGGTTAAAACTATATAACATTGGTCTGGGCAATGTTGTTTTTTTTTTTCTAAATTTGACCCCAAAAGTCAAATCACAAACAACAAAATCAAAAATAGACAAATGGGATTACATCAAAATAAAAATCTTCTGCACCACAAAGTGTCACCTGACACCTGTAAGAATGGATATAATAAAAAAAGACAAAAGATAAGTGTTGGTGAGGATGTGAGAAAAGGGAACCCTTGTACACTGTTGGTAAGAATGTAAATTAGTACAGCCATAATGGGGGTTCCTCAGAAAACTAAAAATTGAACTACCATATAATTCATCAATCTCACTTCTGGGTAATTACCCATAAGATTGAAAATCAATATGTCAAAGAGATGTCTGTACTCCCGTGTTCATTGCAGCATTATTCACAACAGCCAAGTTCTGGAATCAACCTAAGTATCTATCAAGGTATGAATGGGTAAAGAAAATGTGGCATGTCATCCTCAAAGTGGAAGAAACTCTGTCATTTGTGACAACATGGATGGGAATGGAGAACATTATGCTACGTGAAATAAACCAAACACAGAAAGAGAAAAACCACATGCTCTCACTTATATGTGGAATCTAAATCAATTGAACTCACAGAAGCAGAGAAATAAACTTGAAGCCAGACCCTCTAGCTATAACTGGAAAGGCTGGGGTTTTGGCTGTGCACTGGATTTCTTTCTATCCTCATGTTGAAGGTGAACATGGGCTTTTCCACTCTCTGCACTAAGCTGGGGGGATCTGTGGCAAATGCCTGTGTGCACATTCATACTGCACCCTTTGATACAGAGCAGATGGCTCTTGGAAATTAGCCCATTGTATGTCCACCTCTTTGTTTTCTGTGGTCTAGGGCCACAGGAATGCAAAACTTCATTGACTCCCAGGGCTAGGTCATGAAAGAGATAGTCACTTGAGTGTGAGCTATAGTAGTTGTAGCACCTGATGCATGGATAAGCTCCTTCGAGGAAGAATGGACAGATTGGGTTTATCACTGAGGTGGGCCAGAGGAAAGGCTTGGGAAGTTCTTAGCCCTGGCTCAGGCAGCCAGAGGGCTATTGTCTGTCTGCCCTGTTAGCTCTTCAATGCAAGTTTATTGTCAGGCTGTCAAGTATCTACTGGAAATGTGTGCTGTAAACCTCTTAGGAGAGATTTAGAGCTGCATGTCCCAGCCCTTTTTCTGCAACACTACTCTCAAAGGTGTAGCCCCCAAAATGGAAATGTTTGCAGTCTTGTTTAAAACCACCTCTTTGTTCATGATCTAAGATGACTCACATATGCCAAGGCCCTTCTGCATCCAGAGCTAGGAAGTTTAGGATGCAGTCTTTCCAGTGGGAGCGGTAAAACTTGAGGCATTTGACGTTTCGACAATCTCCTTCCCAAGAGAGATGAATAGATCTGGATTTATCTCTGAGGCAAGCCCAGGAAGAAGGCATGGGAAGTGCTGATTTTCCTCTCAGGATGCCAGCAGGCTACAATTTGTCTGTCATTGCAAATTCACGATGGAACTGAGAAGCCATTGGAAGAGTGTGTTTTTGGGGAGAAACGCCGAGCTCTTTTCCCAAAGGGTGGAGCCCCTGGAAACGCATCCACAGCCGTATCAATAGCAAACTGCCTCTCTTTTTCTTGTGTTATAGAGAGACTTGCTCATGCCTAATCCCCTCTGCTCTCAGAGATGGTGAATTAAGAGCCATGCCGTGGGGGACCTTAGAGTTAGGGTGATATATGTGAGGTCCGAACTCTTTTCTCCACAGGGGAGAGCTGAGTGTTGAGGATTCCCTTCCTGATTGTGTGGCACAGTGCCTGGAGCGGGGTCCATGCTGGAGTGTGCCTCAGCTTTTCCTACCCTTCTGATGTGGATGTTTTCTTTGTTGCGCAGAGGGTAGGAGTCTCTCAACAACTGGTTTCTTTCTCCCAGAGAGAACTGATCTATAAATATATGTTTATTGGCACATCCTTGGGTGTCATTTATTTTCCATTCATCCTAATTGCTTTTGTTTCACGGTTTATCCTATCCTCTCTCGTTGTTGTTAACATATTATTTTAGTGTTTCCTTTCATTTCTCCTATTGAATTTTTAGGTATACTACATAATATTACTATTATTTTTAGTACTTGCTTTAAAGCTAATATTGTATATTTAATTTATTAAAATCTATAATAGTTCATATTTTACAACTATACCACACTTTATAGTTCATCCTTCTTCCTTCCGAAAACAACAGTAAAAATGTCTAGACCTAGACTTCCTGCATCCTGTTTCCTATTTCCTAGTCACATTTCCTATTCCAAAAATGTAATAACTATTAGACAATTTTTGTCATATATATTACTTCTATTTATTCCACATTACATTTTCATGCTGTTTATGCTTTAAGCAGTCTCTTGTTTTTTAAATTACAAGAAAAAATAAAGCAAAGTCTTTGTTATGACCTAACTTAATAACCATTTCTGGTGCATTCTGTTTCATTTAATTGATACAATTTTCCATTGGTAATCATTTCCTATTTACCTGTAGATACCTTTTAATATTACTTATTATCTACATGTGTGGTGACAAATACTTTCTGCTTTCTTATGGCTCTAATCAGAAAGTTATTATTCTGGCCAGGTGCGGTGGCTCATGCCTGTAATCTCAGCACTTTGGGAGGCTGAGGCGGGCAGATCACCTGAGGTCAGGAGTTTGAGACCAGCCTGGCCAACATGGCTAAACCCCGTCTCTACTAAAAATACAACAAAATGAGCTGGGCGTGGTGGCGCGTGACTGAAATCCCAGCTACTCAGGAGGCTGAGGCAAGGAATCGCTTGAACCCGGGAGTCAGAGGTTGCAGTAAGCCCAGATCACGCCACTGCACTCCAGCCTGGCCAACAGAGTAGGATGCTGTCTCAAAAAAAAAAAAGAAAAGAAAAGAAAAGAAAAGAAAAAGAAAAAAGAAAAGTTATTATTCTATATCACAGCTTTGGGAGGATATAGATGTTTGATTTCCATGGCTTTTTGTTTATATATTTGCTCATTTTATTCTTTCAGCCTTTAAAACATGTCTTTCAGTTGTCCTGTGCCTACCATTGTTATTGATGAAAACTCAATGATTATTTTTAAACTTTTCCCCCAGCATCCAATGTGTCATTTTTTAATGGTTCTTTTTAAATTTTATTTTGAGGTTTAGTTTAAAACAGACTAGTACGTGCCAAGATGTTATTTATTGTATTGTTTGGGTTTTATTATCTTTTTTTTTTGAAATCTAGGATTTTTTAAATACAAATTGGGAATTATTTAGTTACTAGTTCTGTATATTCGTTTTCTTTCACAGTTTCTCTAATCCTTTCTAAGTGTGACTGCAATTATACATAAGTTAGAGAATGTTCTACTGTGACAAAACTCCCTGTTGGTGTGCTCATTTTTCTGTATTGTTTTTCCTTTTATACTTCAGCTTAGAAAATTTATATTATTTTACTTTCATGTTCAATTTTCCATTTTTTTCTGTTATCCCTGTTAGCAGTTTAGATGTGCACTACGTTTCCCGAAGCTTATATCAGCATGCTCGCTCTCAAAGTTTCTGATACTATCAATTCCCAAACAATTATTTTCTGACTGTACAAAAATGTTTTCCTCTTTGTCCTTGACAAATCCATTTTCTTCATTTTTTTGTTTTTTGTTATTTTTCTCCAATGATCATGTATTCCTTCATTGCCTCGCTCATTACAAATGTTGGCAATTAATTTTTTCAGAATAACCTTAATACTAAATTATAAAATACTTGTACTTAAACTGTGAAAGATAGAAAACAAATCAATATACAGAAATATTTTAAGCACTTTATTTAGACATTTTCCATTTGCTCATCCAAAAAGCAAATGCCATTAGTAAAAATGAATGAAAATGATAAATTAAAAAATTAATGACCTATATTCAAAGTAATATAGAGTTTAAGCCCATAATACAACTTCTGAAATTATATTCCAAGGATGAATTTTTGTTTAAGTGTATTTGTGTTGAGAGGAGACGTGCTCTGAAAACTTTCCTTTCCACAGTGCATAGATATGAAAAAAATATATATAAATATATATACGCACACACTCTTACCCACCACCACATCCTCTTACCACCTATAACGAGAAGTTTCATTAATGAAACACAATATTGGAAATTTAAATTGCACAAAACCTGGTACATTTCATTATGAAAACTGGAAATTTTTTCATAACTAAGATCATCTATTCATTTACAAATGTCTTAGGACTTTGTTAGAATCATCATTGATGAAGCTGAATACATCCAGGACTAAGAGGATTCTCAGAGAATCCTCATGTGGACCTTACCCCTTTGAGCAAGCTCTGTCCTCCGGCCGAGGCGTCCTTCAGTGCATCTTTCATGGGTTCATTCCACAGACTGAAGACGAAGGGATTCAGGAGGGGTGTGATGATGCTGGAGAGGATAAAGAGGATCTTGTTGAGGTGCAGGCTGCTCTTCTGTGAGGGGTGAACATAGACAAAGATGGAGATCCCATAGCCCACGGAGACCACCGTGAAGTGAGAGGCACAGGTGGCAAAGGCTTTGCGTTGACCTTGGCCTGAGGGTATCTTCAGAATGGTGGAGATGATGTAAACATAGGAGACCACTGTGAGTGAGAGGGAGCTGAGGATCAGGACCAGTGAGCTGAGAAAGTCCAACAGCTCAATAGCACGAATGTCAGCACAGGCCAGGTGGAGGAGAGGGGCGCTGTCACAGAAAAAGTGCTCAATCACGTTGGGACCACAGTGTGGCAGTCCTGCCTTGAGGATGGTGGATGGGAGCATGAGGAGAAAGCCACCCACCCAGGAGAGGATGACGAGGTGGGCACAGAGTGAGCTGGTCATAATTGCAGGGTACTGAAGAGGACTGCAAATGGCCACATAGCGGTCATAGGACATGACAGCAAAAGGAATAAACTCAGTGCATCCGGAAAGAAAATAGAAATAGGACTGTGCAGAGCATTCGCCACTTGTGATGCTCTTCCTTTCCGACGGGAAGCCCTCCAGCATCTTAGGAACAGCACAGGTTATGGTTAATGTTTCACTGAAAGAGAGATTGCTGAGGAAGAAATACATGGGTGAGTGGAGCCTGTAATCCACAAGAATCAGGATAATAATAAGGGTGTTTCCAAGGACTGTCACCAAATAGGCTGATAAAAAATCACAAAGAGGAGGCCCCCAAGGGCTCTGGTGGTTGGTATCCCCACAAGAATAAACTCAGTCACCAATGTCCAATTTCCCCTTTCCATGCTTCATATCTCGTTTTACTATAAAGAGAGCTATAGAACAAACAAGGTAATTCACTTATCAAATTACAAACTTCAGGATAAAGTGAGAAGAAATAGTTTTAGCCCCTTTTTTTGTTTCTAAAAAAATTGAGCAACATGGTTGAAATTATAGTTGAGTGCAATATTTCCTATAAAATCCAGATTAAGTTATATGATAATCAACTTCTCTAAATCTGTCTTTCTTTTTTATATTCCATAATTCTTGGGAGGGGGAGGATATATGTTAAATATATTAGTAGACTTGTATTTCCTAGATCTAATAATATATTTAACATATTGACCTATATTTCCTAGGTCTAATATATTTAACATATTTAACAAATTTGTCACGTGTTTTAATAAATGGAGCAATAAAAGATGTACTTGGTAGTTGTAAATATCATAGCAGTTTATTTTCAATGTTTACCTTGTGGGGACTAAGCTGCCTGGGATGTTGCGAGCACATGTAGAGGGCTCAGGATTCCAGTTCAAAGTCAGTGGGGCAGCTATGGCTTCCAGTGTCACATTGGACCATAGGTGCACACGGCAGCCAATTATAACAGAGGCACTTGAGCACCTAGGAGTCTGGAACTCCAACTGCTCCAACTGCCAGTAAGGGTGGAAAACTACAGGTGAATTAGTTTACCCTCCTTCACACAC
Source organism: Homo sapiens (assembly GCF_000001405.40). NCBI lineage: Eukaryota > Metazoa > Chordata > Mammalia > Primates > Hominidae > Homo > Homo sapiens. The sequence continues at coordinate 247,834,967 of NC_000001.11, forward strand.
TGAAAATTATTGTCTCTTTAAGTTTAAACATATCCCCCTTTTCTAACTTTTATTTATCTTTGCCTTGTATGGAAGCACATGGAGGTTAATTTATTCAAAATCTTGCAGTTGGTATAAAAGCACTATAGAAATAAAGTATAAATATTTGCAAAAGTGTTGATAATTTTTCAATCTTTTACAAAACTATCTTTGATAGGATCAACTAAATGTTTGAATAAAAGTTTGTGTCTCAATTAGCTGGAGATGAAAAAAGTCTCTGAGACAAGGTTTTGCTGATGTAGATTAGTGCCAACATTGCCCATATGGAGCAAAAATTTGCAATAATTTGGTATTATTGCAAACTTGTGAATTACAGAAAGAATTCTCAAGTTTAAAAATTATCATAGGCTGGTGCGGTGGCTCACGTCAGTAATCCCAGCATTTTTGGGAGGCCAAGGTGGGAGGCTCGTGTGAGCCCAGTAGTTGGAGACCAGCCTGGCAACATAGAGAGGCACCACCTCTAGAAATGATTTAAAAATTAGTCGGGTGTGGTGGCACATGCCGGTAGTCCCAGCTACTCAGGAGGCTTAGGCAGAAGGATTGCTTGAGCCCAGGAGGTCGAGGCTGCAATGAGCTATGATCGTGCCATTGCACTCCAGCGTAGGAAACAGTGTGAGACACAGCCAGACCCTGTCTCAAACATATAAAAAATTAATTAATTAAAATTATCATATTAAAATAAGTAGAACCGTATAAACTATAGTAAGATTATATAACTTTGGCATCAGTGGAGCATTATTATCTCAACAAAGAAAAGTGGGAATAATGAGAGAAACACAATCTGTTTACACAATGAGAAATAAAACAAATTTTAGAAAACAAAAAATGGAAATATGAATTATGAATCTGCAACAATAAGAATTGTATCAATAAACATGAATATATTAATTTTTACTGTTATAAATATCAGATTGAAATACAAAGCCCTATGCAGTTTGCTAGAATAAATATACTAAATATAAAAGCTTAAAATGCAAAAGAGAGGTCGGGCACGGTGGCTCACCCCTGTAATCCCAGCACTTTGGGAGGCTGAGGCAGGCGGATCACCTGAGGCCAGGAGTTCAACACCAGTCTGGTCTACGTGATGAAACCTTGTCTCCACTAAAAAAGATAAAAAATTAGCCGGGCGTGGTAGTGGGTGCCTGTAGTCCCAGCTACTCGGGAGGCTGAGGCAGGGAGAATGAACCCAGGAGGCGGAGGTTGCAGTGAGCCGAGATTGCACCACTGCACTCCAGCCTGGGCAACAGAACAAGACTCCGTCTCAAAAAAAAAAAAAAAAAAAAAAAAAAAGAGATAAAAGTACACAGGCAAGCTAGTATTACAATAAATCAATCATACCCTATTTCAACTAAGCTTTCATTTTTGCTCGCAAGTCCACCTCTGTGTCTTCAGTCAGCTGTCAGTCTCACTCTGCAAGATGAGTATGGAATGCCTTTGCCACTTTCTTCAAATCCTGACCTACACTGTCTATGGTAAATAAGAACAATTGGCCTTGTCACGAAAATGTGTCATGTAACTCCTCAGGTGGGAAATTGTACAAGTGCCATTTCCATTTCTTTCCTTTTTTATTTGAGACAGGGTCTCACTCTGTTGCCCAGGGTAGAGTGCAGTGGCACAGTCATGGCTCACTGCAGCCTCTACCTACTGGGTTCAAGTGATCCTCCTGCTTCAGCCTTCTGAGTAACTAGCATTACAGGCACATGCCACCATGATCAGATAATTTTTACTATTTTTGGTAGACACATAGTCATTCTTTGTTGCCCAGGCTAGTCTCCAATTCCTGGGCTCAACCATATTCCCGCCTTGGCTCCCAAAGTGCTAGGATTAAAGATGCGAGCCATTGAGCCTGGCCCTATCTCCATTTCTTTAAATCCTCATAAGACTACGATGATCCTCTCCTTTCTGCCTCCTACACTAAAGAAAACACTTCCCGTACTGAATGTTGGTATTTCCACATTTGAACAAGATGCCTTCTTGTTTTATCTCAGGCTATCAGTCATCACTTTCTATATTGATTCCTCTGATTTATTTTTTATCACTATGGACCTTTCCCATAAGTGTTCAAACTTACTTAGATGCTAACATCTTACAAAAGTACAACTGCCCCTCCAACACAATTTTTTCTTTCAACCTTTCAAAATTATGTGTCTCATGGCCGGGCACGGTGGCTCACCCCTGTAATCTCGGCACTTTGGGAGGCCGAGGCGGGCTGATCACCTGAGGTCGGGAGTTCGAGACCAGCCTGACCAACATGGAGAAACCCTGTCTCTACTAAAAATACAACAAATTAGCCAGGCGTATTGGCGCCCCCCTGTAATCCCAGCTACTGGGGAGACTGAGGCAGGAGAATCGCTTGAACCCGGTAAGCGGAGGTTATGGTGAGCCGAGATCACACCATTGTACTCCAGCCTGGACAACAAGAGCAAAACTCCTTCTCAAAAAAAAAAAAAAAAAAAAAAAAGAAGAAGAAGAAGAATTACATGTCTCAGGATAACTGTTTCACACACAATTGCTTCCATTGTTTTACAAGTCATTCCTGCCCCATTGCCACTAGTCTGATGTGCACTACCCCGATGCCAATCATGCTGCCCTTCCCGGGAACAACACTGAAGTCTGTGATGAGAAGTTTGATGATAACCCTTTAATCCTCATCTTCCATGTTGACTGCCTCTTCCTTCCCCCAACACTCTCACCCCTTAGAGAAATGCAGCCACCTCATAAGTGCCCCCCAACCTCTGTGCCTCTTCCTTCTCACAACACTCTCACCTCTTAGAGAAATGCAGCCACCTCACAAGTGCCCCCAGCTTCTGTGGTCATTCCTGCCAGCTCCTTTTGGGGTTTCTTTTCCTTCAATTAAATTTAATGTTTTAAAATTCTTTTGTGCTCTGTTCTTCACTCTCTTATTATATTGGTTTGCACTCTTCCTGAAAAAATCGAATTTGTTTCCATATTTTCAAATATCATCTATATGTTAAAAACTTCCAAATTTTTAACTTTCGGCCAGGCCCCTCCTCTGAGCTCCAGATCCATACATCCAAATGTTCTTTTGGTGTAATTTCTTACTGTCCCTAATATGTGGATCAATAATTTTTTACTCTCCGTATGCAGAGCCCTGCACCACCAAATTTAACACGTTAGAAAAAGCTTTTGGTAGAGTAACATAAGTCCAGTTAAACATAAGGCACAGCTAATATACTAATCAGAGATGACCATCTGCAAGGTAAGATATTGATCGTTTGGGTACTCTACCGAAAAGCTGAAACCAATGAGACTTCTCTCCCTACTGCACCCATTTCCTGATCTGAGATTCTAATGCATCACTTTCCTTCTACCCAATATTTGAACCAGATGAATCAAAAAAGGACTGAGGACATTTCTCACAGGTCAAATCCCAGAAAGGAGAGAAAATGTGAGGGCTAGAAAAAGGCAGGTGAAAGAACCCAAGGACACGTGGTGGGGGAAATTACATGAGCTAGAGGGTGAAAGTGCATTGAACCCTGAGGCTCAGGGACCACTGCACTGGAACGAGTGAGACCGGAACAGGTACTCCCAACCTCACCATCCATGAGGTACTTCCTGTGATGGATTACATCATGAAACCTAAAATCAAACCAACTTCCGCTCCTGCATGGGCTACTGCAATGACCCCAACAGCTCTTGCTCTCTTTTAGTCTTTTCTCTACACAGCAATGGAATTCACACATGCAAAATATATCATGTCATTCCCTAATTAGTATGTTTTGATAATCATTTCCCTTAGTGCAAGATCTGAAAACCCTATGAGGTTTTTAATGACAGAGATGGATTAGCCCCTACCATTCTCTCCAGACTGAGCTCCTTCCTCTATCTCCCCAGTTCCTCAGCCTTCTTCTGCCATGCCCTAGCTGGACTACTCTCCACTCTTGTTCTCCTCACTCTTGAAGCGTAGGTGAAGTGCTACATAACATAGAAAGCTTCCCTAATCATGTATGTTGACTCAGACTTGTCGTCCTGTGTTCATGCTCCAGCTTGCACTTTATTATTTCTTTTCTTTGGGATGGAGTCTCGCTCTGTCACCCAGGCTGGAGTGCAGTGGTGCAATCTCGGCTCACTGCAAGCTGCGCCTCCCGGGTTCACGCCATTCTCCTGCCTCAGCCTCCCGAGTAGCTGGGACTACAGGCACCCGCCACCACACCTGGCTAATTTTTTGTATTTTTAGTAGAGATGGGGTTTCACTGTGTTAGCCAGGATGGTCTCGATCTCCTGACCTCATGATCCGCCCGCCTCGGCCTCCCAAAGTTCTGGGATTACAGGGGTGAGCTACTGCGCCCGGCCTCACTTTATTATTTCATAGTGATCATCACAAGTAGAAATAAATCAATCATTGCTTTATGATTTGTTACATTTTTCTCCTCCCTTCTGCATTGGAAGGTCTATTAAGGTAAAGTCTTGCTTGGCCCTTTCTTTCTTTTTTCTTTTTTTTTTTTTTTTTGAGATGGAGTTTCATTCTTGTTGCCCAGGCTGGAGTGCAATGGCATGATCTCAGCTCACAGCAACCTCTGCCTCCTGGGTTCAAGTGATTCTGCTGCCTCAGCCTCCCTAGTAGCTGGGATAACAGGCATGCCCCTTGCCCGGCTAATTTTGTATTTTTAGTAGAGACGGGGTTTTTCCATGTTGGCCAGGCTGGTCTCGAACTCCCGACCTCAGGTGACCGCCCACCTTGGCCTCCCAAAGTGCTGGAATTACAGGCGTGAGCCACTGTGCCTGGCTTGCTTGGTCCTTTCTATGTCATTGTCTTTCCGGGAAATTCAGACTGTGGCACAGGACGTGGCATGCTTCATGAGATTAAAAATATTTGTAGAATTAATGAATCAAACAATGGGCAGGATTTGTAGAGATCTTCTAAACTGGCTGAATAAAATAAACTATAAAAGTGATTTAAGAGCCTGGGCGCGGTGGCTCACCCCTGTAATCCCAGCACTTTGAGAGGCCGAGGCGGGTGGAGCTTGAGGTCAGGAGTTCAAGACCTGCCTGACCAACAGGGTGAAACTCTATCTCTACTAAAAAAAAAAAAAATACAAAAATTAGCTGGGCCTGGTGGTGCATGCCTGTATTCCCAGCTACTCAGGAGGCTGAAGCAGGAGAATCGCTTGAACCTGGGAGGTGGAGGTTGCAGTGAGCCAAAATCGTGCCATTGCACTCCAGCCTGGGCGACAGAGTGAGACTCTGTCTCAAGAAAATAAAAAGTGATTTAAACATTTTAGTGACATCCTCTGACTCTCAGGACTCACAGTAGCACAGAATACTGAGGATCTTCTCCTTCCTCCCTCCCTCCCTTCCCTCCTTTCCTCCCTCCCTCCCTCCCTCCCTTCCTTCCCACAATTTCATTAAACAAAAAACACTAAAACATCTAAGGTCTTGTAGATGAATATTTGGCACTTCAAAGGCCTTACTTCTTTCTTATCTTTAGGAGATAATGTAGGTCAACAAACATTTTAAATGTCTTCTTTTTTTTATTTATTCTTTCTACTGCTATTTAATAAGCACCAATGGCACCCACCAGGTTTTAGGTCCACAAGGCCAGTCTACTAAGAGTACTTAAAAGATGCAGAGCTTTCTGTACATAAGGTTATGTAAACAAAGGGAAATCTTATTGTAGAATGTGAAAGTAATGTGTGTGTAATCACCATCCACTGGAATTCAATCAGATTTTCCTAACAAGATGTTAGAAAGTGTCTAGGACAAAACTGACCTCAAAATGGTTTGATGGAGGCAGTTTATCTTCTGACCAGTTGCTAGTGAGGAACCCTCAAAAAGCTGTTGTTTTGTGGCCTACAGAATTCAATGCAGTTCTGACAATGATCTTCAGGTTTAAAGGTCTGAATCTACCATTCACTTAACCCTGAATTTAATCCACTGCATGTTCTGTGCAATTTTCTTTACCTAATAAAGGAACTTCCTTTTACTTGTACTCCATAGAATACCACATTTCCTTCTCATGACCTTTCTAACAGCTTCTTTGAAGTCTTTGTTCCTCAAGCTGTAGATAACTGGGTTCAGCAGTGGTGTGACCACAGTGTAGAAGACAGAAATGATCTTGTTGATTTCAGGCAACAGGTGGGGACTGGGACACACATACATGGAGATCATGGTCCCGTAGTAGAGAGTGACAACAGCCAGGTGGGAGCCACATGTGGAAAAGGTCTTTCTCCGGCCAGAGGTGGAAGGGATTCTCAATATGGAGGACACAATGAAAACATAGGGCCCCAGTGTCAGAAAAAAACAAATGCACAGCACGGCAATTGACAGGATGAAGATGGTCACCTCGGTGATATAAACTCTGGAACAGGAGAGCTGCATGAGTGGCGGGAGGTCGCAGAAGAAATGGTTAATCTGATTGCGCCCACAGAAGTCCAACCTGGAAATCATCAGGGAAGGCAGAAAGCCTGTGCTGACCCCTGTGCACCAGGAGACCACCACCAACCTGGCACAGAGCCCACGATGCATGAGGAAGGGGTAGCGGAGTGGGCTGCAGATGGCCAGGTAACGGTCATAGGCCATGAAGGCCAGGAGAAAGCACTCGGTGGCGCCGAGGAATACGAAGAAGTAGAGCTGTGCCATGCAGGCAGAGAAGGAGATGGCTTGGCCCCAGGACAGCAGGTTGGCTAGGAGAAGGGGCACAGTGGTGGACGTGTACCAGACCTCCAGAAAGGAGAGATGCTGGAGGAACATGTACATAGGGGAGTGCAGTCGCAGGCCCTGGCTCACCACGGTGATGATGACAACATTCCCTATAATGGTCAGGCAGTAGATGAGCAGGAAAATGACAAAGAGCAGGGCCTGCCATTCAAGAAGGTTCTGGAATCCTAACAGCTGAAAGTTAGTCACAGTGGAGGTATTTTGGGGCTCCATTGCCTGTGGGGGATGAAAAACATTCTGGAAAAGCACAGGATGCAAGGCGCAAATTTATCACTGGTGATGCTTGGAACTTCAGAGATTAATTTTTAAATAGTTTAGATCTGTATGCACAGCTTTTTAGAAGGATAAATGCATAATTCCATATCTCTTTCGTAAGAATACATTTTGAAATCTTAAGCTGAATGTGAATATTAGATCTTGTAAGGAGACTCAGCAAGTTTCATTCATCTGGGTTCTCTGAAATCTTGAAGTCTCCTTCCAAAGACAGGCAAAAAAGGACTCTTATTAGTAGATCTTCAGTGTTCTCACCATACAAAAAAGAAAAATTGAGGTGATGAATATGTTAATTGGATTGATTGTGATGATTATTTCACAATGAATACATCTACGAGAACAAAGTTGTACACTGTAAATATATAGTATACAATAATTATCAACTACACCTCAATAAAGCTGGACAAAAACTCAGAAAACTAACAATAACAACAAAGCTTTAAAAAAAATCCTGCACGGCCGGGCGCAGTGGCTCACGCCTGTAATACCAGCACTTTGGAAGGCCGAGGCGGGCGTATCACGAGGTCAAGAGTTCGAGACCAGCCTGAGCAACACAGTGAAACCCCGTCTCTACTAAAAATACAAAAATTAGCTGGGTGTAGTGGTGCCTGCCTGTAATCCCAGCTACGTGGGAGGCTGGGGCTGGAGAATCGCTTGAATCCGGGAGGCGGAGATTGCAGTGAGCCAAGATCGCACCACTGCATTCCAGCCTGGGTGACAGGGCGAGACTCCGTCTCAAAAAAAAAAAAAAAATCATGCACATGTGGAAGCAAATGCCTTTCCCTTCTCATCTGTGGGCTTTGTCTGAAAAAGAAGCCAGACACAGCACATCTCCTATGCCATCTTGGGAAAGTGTATATATTCCACCCTCAAACAATATTTATTAGTCCCTGCTGTGTGTGTGTGTTTGTGTGTGTGTGTTTGTGTGTGTGTGTGTGTGTGTGAAGGCCTGTGCTGAACTAATCTGCCTCACTCCACTGGTGTCCTTTCTTGCCTCATCCGATACCATACTCATGCTCAGCCACTATAATTACACCCTCGTGTACACCTTTTATTCTTTCATTTAATTCATTGTCTATAGTTCTGGATAAAGTAAACATCCACCTGCCATACAGGAGCTTCTGTGAAGTTGAGGGAGTGAGACAAGCAAGAATAGAACCTCTTTAAAATGTACAACCAACAAACTCAGTGTGCCCTTACTGCTGGAGAGCAATCATTCTGTATTTCCCTTATAAACCAAAAATAAAATTCTAAACCCCACAACTGACTGAGCGGACTCCTCCTTTCAGCCAAGGGGATTTCAAAGAAACCTAAAAATTCTGGTTCAGATCATGATGGGAAGAGGGGGTTGGACAAACCTCATTACACTCTCCTTTCTTCAGAATTCAGGCATAACTGAGCAGCAATAACATCAAAAAAGAGATTTTAAGGCTGACGAAACAGACTCTGTAGAAATAAGCTACCAAATTCTAACCTGACTCTAGTATAGCATCATGACAGACAGCCGACCCTGAAGGAAATGGAAATATTTTACCACAAAATATATTTATTTGTCATATTTAAAATGGCCCTGCAAAGCTGTCTCTTGTGGGGGAAATCTACATTCTGCGGAGAATCCCTTTCCCTCTCCAGGCCTTTGTCTGATCCTCAAGAGATTAGCTGAAAGTCTAGCACCTTTTAAAGGTCTCAATAGAACATTTTTCCCATCTGCTGCTTCTCAGGCTGGCAACATATGAGACTTCATCTACATCATAAGAACCTTGGTTTCCCCAACCCCCCTATCTTAACCCAGATTCTCCTTTCTATTGATTCCAGGTCTTCAGACAATAACTTAATTCTTTCAACCAGTTGCCAATCAAAAAGTCTTTGCATCCACGTATGACTGTAACCTTCCCCCATTCTTGGAGCTGTCCTGCCTTTCCAGACCAAACCAACGCATAGCTCACACGTACTGATTGATGTCTTATGTCTCCCTAAAATGGATAAAGTCAAGCTGTAACACAACCACCTTAAGCACATATTCTCAGGACCTCCTGGGACTGTCACAGATCATGGTCTTTAAATTTGGCTCAGAATAAACCTCTTCAAATATTTGTTACAGACTTTGGTTTTTATCAATACCCGTATCTATTCACTCTTCCAATCTCCTAAGTGACTATTTCACTTATGTTGCTCTCTTTTCGAACGTCTAGCACATCCCTGTTGCTCTGTACCCTCAGTAAGAGACTTATTTCACTGGAAGATCCTGAAATCCTTCAGTGGAAGTATCCACAAGCTCAGGCCACTAAATTCTGCCATCGACTACCTTTTGTTCCTGTGCACCTACTCCCTACACTTCCTCTGAGTAAACTATCTGTGTCCAAGTCTAAGGCAAATCCTTCCACCTGGGCATTAGGCGCCATAACCTCCTACACACTGGAAAGGTATTGCAGGTGACAGAGGCAAAACTATTCCTATCCAAAAGACTCAGGAGTGTTGAGCTGAAGAAGACGAACACACAGGGGACCTGCCCCTTCCTCTGCTTTCCTGAAGGCAGGACCAAGATTTACAAAGACAAAGGTCTTCCTGCCTCCCCTCTGCCTCTTCCCACCTGAAGACAGTCTCCTTTATAATGCTTGCTTCTCAGCTCAGACAGCAACGCCAGGGATCTCGGAACAGACTACTCTTCCTGTAAATTTTCCTTCCCAAATGTCTTGCTTTTGGGAAGCCTGAAGATGCCGTTTTTTTTGTTTTGTCACCGTAGAGGATGTATGGCTCCTTGCTAAGATACTATTTCAGCAAGGCCTCAAAGCCACTGCTTCCAAACCGTCGCAACAATCTAGGTGAGCCGTTTTCCTGAGAGAGCTGCTTTCTTTCTTGTGGATGGGCATGACATGCATAAATAAACATGCTTGTTTTTCTCTTGGTGATCTGCGTTTTGCTCATGAAAATCTGTCCTAGCAGTGAATTTAATGAAAGTCGAGAAGAGAAATTCTTTTTTTCTCTCCTTCACTGGGTATTCTCAGCTTCATGCCTGAATCACCCATGGTGCCCTTTCTGCCAAAGCATTTCCTCAGCATGTCAATGGGCTGGATTTCTCTCCCCCACTTTAAAAAGACAAAACAGAGAAGAATGTCTAGAGGCTTTGCTGTTCTCTGAATACTACCTGCACTTTTCTGCTCCCTTTTCCCGATGCTTTCCCTTCTGGAGGGCACTGTCCCTCCCTGCTGCTCCTCGTCCTCTGCCTTCTTGCTCGCTGGAATGCACTATGATCAGGATGTTTTTCTTGCCACTGCCCCAGACGGCGCAGCTGTGCTGGCATTGCCCTCCAACCACCCATCGCATTCCCGATCCTCTTCATCTGTGGCATCATCGCACCATTGATCCCTCCCTCTTCCTGGATCCACTGGTCACTTAATATCCACAACTACATACTCTCTTAGATCAGCGACAGCCCTGGTTTTTCACACTTGTACAGGGCTTCGTGTCTTTCAATCTACCTTCATTTCCTTCACAGTTTCAGGCAGTCTCTTGACTTGAATGCTGTCACTTTGCTCTCAGCCCTCAAATTTATGTCTCAAGCTTGAACAGAAGCGTCCTGTAAAAACTGCCCTATGTGAAATGCTCACTCATGACTAGTCAGCATTTGCAATTTAACGAGACCTAACTTAGCTGACCAGCACTCCTGACTACCCCAGCCTCCCTCAGTGCAGCCTTCCCATCTCCATCCTCCCACTTGCTCAGACCAGAAACTCTGAATTTGACTCTTGTTCCTTTCAAACCCAATGTCCAATTTTTCAGCAAAATTGACTGGCTCCACCTGAAAATGTATTCAGAACTGATCTGATCACCATTTACGACCACCATCGCTTGCTGCCTGGAAAAGGCACCACTATCTCTTATCTAGATTGTTGCAATAGTTTCGTTAAAGCACCTCCACGTCCAGCCTGCCCCACTCAAGAAAGCAGTCAAAGAGAATATTTTAAAACACGGGAGAGTTTTTGCAGTGAACACAGATGTACTGTGAATTGTTCCTGAAAAGGAAGAAAACATTGTGACCAGACAATCCACATATTCACCTCTGCAGTTTCCGCTTTGTCAGAATCGACGTTCTGTTGACTTGCTGTTTCTGTTCTTCATGTCTGTTGCAATTCACTATTTCTGCTCTGTTCTACGTTCTCCTCTCATTCTTGGCCAAGTCACTGGGAATATTATTTTCATGTAGCCAGGAAATAATTATATCAAGAGAAAATAATATCTTAACATTATTGCACATGCTAAAAAGAGTATAATACTGAATGTGTCATATATATTGAACTATATAGTACTTGATTTCTTCAATAAAGCTTAAGAAACAAAAACAAAAAACCAACCAACCAACAAACAAAAACAAAGCCTTGACAGGTTACCCAGCCCTGCTTGTTCTCTCCTCCCACAGCCTCACCAAACTCTTAGTCTACTTTCTTCTTGGTCCGTTCTGCACCCAGTGCTTCCGCCTCCTTTGTATTCTTCAAGTTACCTGAAACGTGCCTCGTTTTCTCCTTAGCATGTTTAGTTCCCTGCAACGTTGTCATTGAACAGCTTTGTATGGCTCATTTCTCATGTCCTTCCAGTCTGCTCAGATAACACCTTCTTCTTTAGGCCTGATCTAACTACTCTTCTGCCATTCTCAGAATTTATAAGAGTCAAGATAAAAGTGTTAAGTATATGTTGGTTTGAAGGCAAAATATTCCAGCAGTTCTGGCTTGAAAACACTGAACGAAAACTAAGAGATGTGAGAAAATTGTTATTTGATCCACATAGATTGATTTATTCACATAGATTATTTATTCAGCCGGGCACGGTGGCTCACGCCTGTAACCCCAGCACTTTGGGAGGCCGAGGCGGGTGGATCACTTGAGGTCAGGAATTCAAGACAAGCTTGGTCAAAATGGTAAAACCCTGTCTCTACTAAAAATACCAAATTTAGCCAGGCGTGGTAGGGGGCACCTGTAGTCCTAGCTACTCAGGAGGCTGAGGCAGAAGAATCACTTGAACACAGGAGGCGGAGGCTGCAATGAGCCGAGATCGCGTCACTGCACTCCAGCCTGGGTGATAGAGCGAGACTCCGTTTCAAATAATAATAATAATAATAATAATAATAATAATAATAATAATAAATACTCTTGGTAAAACAACAATGCTTTCTTGGAAAATGGTTCCTTTTTGCTTTGGCTTTCACTTAGTATTTTATAAGAATATGACCATGGTATTCAATTTAAAATGAACATCCACAGAAAAATAAGTTAAACATGGAGCGCAATGAGGGTCTCCTTGATGAGACCACAGTGAAAACAAAACAGCCCTTTATTACAATAGGCTAAGTTTACAGGACACTGGGCTCAGATCCTAGTTTTCTAAAGTACCTCCCACAATTCATATCCAAATGCACAAGGAAAATGAACTGTTGTATAATCATCGCTTCATGGTTAAATCCTTTCAGTAATGAAGAGCTCACCACCTTTTGAAATACTGATTGTTTTTTTTTTTAAGAGACAAGGTCTTGCTTCGTTGCCCTGGCTGGAGTGCAGTGGCACAATCATAGCTCACTGTAATCTCAAACTTATAGGCTCAAGTGTCCTCCTGCCAGGGTGGCTAGGACCACAGGTGTGTGCCACCATGACTGGTTAATTATATATCCACATATTTTTTGTAGAGGTAGAGGTCATGCTATATTGCCCAGGCTGGCCCTTAACTCCTGGCTCCAGTGATCCTCCTGCCTTGGCCTCCCAAAGTGCTAGGATTACAGGTGCTCTGGGCCTGATTACTTAAATACTGACTATTTCCAAGTGCTAGAATTACTTTAATTACATTGAGCTGGAAAAAAAAAATGCTTCCCAAAAGACTGGGTTGGCTTTAGCTCTAGGGCAACAAGGGTAACCTCAGATTTAACTTTGTAGCTTTCTTTGAAATAAAAATAATTACGAATGTTGTTGTTGGGGGCAGTGGCTCACGCCTGTAATCTCAGCCTTTTGGGAGGCCGAAGAGGGTGAATCACCTGAGGTCAGGAGTTTGAGACCATCATGGCCAACATGGTAAAACCCCGTCTCTACTAAAAACACAAAAATTAGCCAGACATGGTGGCGGATGCCTGTAATCCTAGCTCCCTGGGAGGCTGAGGCAGGAGAATCACTTGAACCCAGGAGGCAGAGGTTGCAGTGAGCCGAGATCATGCCATTGCACTCTAGCCTGGGCAACAGAGCAAAACTCTGTCTCAAAAAAAAAAAAAGAAAAAAAAGAATGTTGTTGTTCTTAGATGCAATCTTGCCCAGAGTAAACTAAATGGCCTTTTGACTTCTCGAGAACTCTTGATTAATTGTCTGTTATTACAGTTTTATAATTTAGGCAAGATCATTTACTGTTTCCATAAAGATAGAGAATCTGCAAAGGCTAAAATTGCCTTGATAATGATGAATAATTTATTGAAGTCGATGTATTTTTAGAATCTAACATACACAATCAAAACAAGGACATTTATGTTATTTGACAGTAAAATACACACCACGTTGATTTTCTTCTTCTCTGCATGAACTCCCCCTACCTGTCTGTTTTCCCGGCGTCCAGAGCGCTAAATGGCCCCTGCTCTAGGCAATGTCTACCCGTGCCCTCCTGTAACCCAAACTCTTACTGTGCTTTCATTGTGAGATCTGAAATTTGCCATCTTCTGCCGGTGTCTGACACTGGGTAAAGCCAACTTCTCCTTTCAATAGCCTTGGGTTTCTTGGGGACCTGGCCCTTCTGAGAAACTTGTTCCCCAGATATTATTCTATAATTTGACAATCAAGTCAGAAAACAATCAAATCAACCTTTTGAGATTCAACCCTGCCCACTGGGGCTTAGATGATGATAAAATATTTGAGACACATGGACACATGCAATTCTTCCATTCTTTTTGAAAAGGATTTATTTTTTTAATTTAACTTAAGATAGGTCCCAAAAATGTTGAACTAAAATCTGAATCAAACAAATGGAGATTTCTCTAAAATCCAGCAAGCAGACACTGAGTGGGTGAGTGAGCCGTTCTGACTGAAAACTTAACAGGTGCTTTTTGCTGAATGGCATTTCCTCTGCATACCTTAATTACAGACGTGGCTAAATGGAAAAAATTATGAACACAAATTAATTAATTCATTCAATTAAAGCAATCTGTAGCAAAGATCATTCTAAATTTAAATCTGTCAATTTAACAAAGAAAATGCAATATATAAATTGGTCTGAGAGGCTATTAGGCTTGAGTTTTAGAAGAGAAGTTAAAAAATAAAATATTTTCTTTTTTTTTTTTGAGATGAAGTCTCGCTCTGTCGCCCAGGCTGGAGTACAGTGGCATGATCTCAGCTCACTGCAACCTCTGCCTCCCGGGTTCAATTCTCCTGCCTCAGCCTCCTGAGTAGCTGGGATTACAGGCATGCGCCACCATGCCCAGCTAATTTTTTTGTATTTTCAGTAGAGATGGGGTTTCTCTATATTGGCCAGGCTGGTCTCAAACTCCTGACCTTGTGATCCTCCTGCCTCGGCCTCTCAAAGTGCTGGGATTACAGGCATGAGCCACCACTCCCGGCCTAAAAAAGAAAAGATTTTCAACCCATTCGTAATATAGCAGGATTTTTTTTTAATTCCAGTGTATAGAAGTCTAATTAAGAAGAGCAAATTTATTAATATTTCTAGTTAAATTTATATATTTTAGTCTAAGAGAAAATATTAAAGCGTTGAATAAATAAATGTATAAAAACAAAAAATCACATATTTTGTTTGGTTATTTATGATTCATTTATTCAACAAATACCTACCATGTGCCTGCAGTTCATTCAGGCATTATGATACAACAGTGAATCACACCATGTTATAGTCTGACAGGATTTATGATCTATTGATGTTTGATTTAACCAATATGCATTTTTTCAAGATAATATGATTCATATGTACAGTTTTTAGAAAATTTGGAGGAGGAAAGACAGTGCAGAAAAAAGTACATCTTTTTAAATAGTCATAGAACTGTCTTTCAGAGTTACAAACCTAATGTCTTGCCTTCCAAACTCTTTGTGTCCCACATATGGGGTAGAACAACTGGGTTACTACTTATACAGCCTGTATCTTGGCTTTCTTTGCAGCAAATTTTATATAGCCTGAATCTTGGCTATTTTGCAGCTACTTTTTCAGTTAATTCCTACCATAGCTCTTTTCTCCTCCTGCTAAATTAAAGGAAAAAAATGAATAAAGCACCCTTTATGGATTGTATAACAGTCCATTGTTTGGGGTGGTCTTTTCATAGCTTATCACAAATCTAGCTCTTGTAATATCTGCATGTTTGCAGAGACAGGCATGACCTAGCCAGCAAAGATTATGTATCCACTTTCTTTTTGTTTTTTTTTTGAGATGGAGTCTCACTCTGTCGCCCAGGCTGGAGTGAGGTGGCACAACCTTGGCTCACTGCAACCTCCGCCTCCCGGGTTCAGGCAATTCTCCTGCCTCGGCCTCCCGAGTAGCTGGGATTACAGGCTCCCGCCACAATGCCCGGTTTATTTTTGTATTTTTAGTAGAGATGGGGTTTCACTATGTTGGCCAGGCTGGTCTTGAACTCCTGACCTCGTGATCCACTCGTGTCGGCCTCCCAAAGTGCTGGGATTATAGGCGTGAGCCAAATAACAAAACTTCTGTGCTCATCAGCAACAGCTGAGAAAATGGAGATAAAAGGGTGCTCAGGCCTGCAAAACCATCAAGGCTTAGACTCGAGAGAGCACCCGGCAAAGGGTACCTGGAACATCAGCCATGTACACAACCATAACCAGAAGGTGTTAGGCCCTCAATGTCCAAGGA